>NT_167249.2:3215068-3369633 GCF_000001405.40 Homo sapiens
GGCCAGGCTGGTCTTGAACTCATGACCTCGTGATCTGCCCGCCTTGGCCTCCAGAAGTGCTGGGATTACAGGCATGAGCCACCGTGCCTGGCCCTTTTTTTTTTTAAGACAGAATCTCGCTCTGTCACCCAGGCGCGATCTTGGCTCACTGCAACCTGCGATCCGACTCCCTGGTTCAAGTGATTGTCCTGCCTCAGCCTCCCAAGTAGCTGAGATTACAGGCACATGCCAACACGCCCAGTTAAGTTTTGTATTCACCGTGTTTCACTATGTTGGCCAGGATGGTCTCAATCTCATGACCTTGTGATCCGCCTGCCTCGGCCTCTCAAAGTGCTGGGATTTCAGGTGTGAGCCACCACGCCCAGCCAGGAGATTACTCTTGATATTGTGGCCTAAAGAGCAAGGACTTAGGTTTCCCAGAGAAGGAATTCTGCCTCAAGACTGTCACATAGAAATCCTGCCTGAGTGGCCGGGCGCGGTGGCTCACTCCTGTAATCCCAGCACTTTGGGAGGCCGAGGTGGGCGGATCATGAGGGCGGATCATGAGGTCAGGAGTTCGAGACCAGCCTGGCCAATATGGTGAAACCCCATCTCTACTAAAAATACAAAAATTAGCTGGGCGTAGTGGTGTATGCCTGTAGTCCCAGCTACTTGGGAGGCTGAGGCAGAAGAATCGCTTGAACCTAGGAGGCAGAGGTTGCAGTGAGCCGAGATCGTGCCACTGCACTCCAGCCTGGGCAACAGAGTGAGACTCCGTCTCAAAAAAAAAAAAGAAGACTATAGTTAATGAACAAGCAATCGGCCGGGCGCGGTGGTTCACGCCTGTAATCCCAGCACTGTGGGAGGCCGAGACGGGTGGATCACGAGGTCAGGAGATGGAGACCATCCTGGCTAACACGGTGAAACCCCGTCTCTACTAAAAATACAAAAAAATTAGCCAGGCGTGGTGGCAGGCGCCTGTAGTCCCAGCTACTTGGGAGGCTGAGGCAGGAGAATGGCGTGAACCCGGGAGGCGGAGCTTGCAGTGAGCCAAGATCACACCACTGCACTCCAGCCTGGGCGACAGAGCAAGACTCCATCACAACAACAACAACAACAACAAAAACAATGAACAAGCAGTCATGGTGCAATGTGATAAGACACCCAGGTGTTCTGAGAGTCAGAGGAGGGCTCAGGGGCCCCGTGGTCTATGCCTCAACGTTGGTGCTGGCTTTCCCTTCCTCATTTCTGTGCTTGCTTTTAGCCCCTGTTGTCTTGCCAGGACTCTAAATGTCTCTTAACTGGTCTTCCAGCCCCTACATACTGATTCCAGAATAATATTTCTGAAATGCAAATCAAATCATATCACTTCCTTATCTAAAATTCCATATAGCAAATCGCCTTACAAGCTGTAAATGCTGTTTCTTCCATAAGGCATTCTCTCCTTCCTCCCTGGTCTAGTGTCATTGTGGCCTTCCTTCCCTCCCCAGCCCTGAAAGGTCCTGAACTTGCAGTTCCTTTAATGCGCTCTGGGGTTTCATTGCTCACCTGGATGCTTGCATCTCTTCCTTGTCAGGTAAACACTCATCTTTTAAGGCTATCTCAAGTTCATTGATGAAACCTTTCTGATCTTCTAGAGAGACCTAATATTCCCCTGTTTGTGTCCCTGTGAACTTTATATGGACTCCTATCTCAGCTTGTATCAGTCAGGATGGCTACATCATGCTGCAGTAACAAACAACCCTGGAATCTCAGTAGCTTAACACAACAGTTTTATTTCTCACTATTGCTCTCTGTTGGGTCAGTAGGAGTGTTAGAGTCTCTGATCATCATAGTCACTCAGGCATCCAGATCAAAGGAGGCTCCATCAAAAGAGGGTGCTGGAGTGTCTTGTGTTACATTGGCAGTTAAATACTTGTGCCTGACAGTAACAACACATGTGACTTCTGCTCTTATTTCACTGGCCAAAGCAAGCCAGTTAGGCCTCTTGCAGTGGCCTAACTTCAGGAGGGCTGAGGAATTCCATCCTATCATGTGCCTGGAAGGCAGAAAACGGGAAAATTCATGAAGAGCCTCAATGGCTGCCTCAACTCGGTGTAGCGCTGACTGGCTCACATATCTCTCTCCCACTGGACAGTGGGGGAACCAAACGTGTCACAGCGTTCCTACCCTTTAGCAGTTTGTGCTCCAGGAATGTGGAGAGACCAGTATATGGATGGATTATAACTCTGTGTTAATGTTACAGTCTGGGTTTGCTGGCGTGGAAGGAGTTTGTGGAAGAAGGGCAGTAGTTTATAGGGAGAGGAGGATGGAAAGGGATGATCTTAATTTTGGTGACCCTGACAGCAGAGCTTGAGACAGGACTTGGCCGTAGGTAGTTAATTTAGGTGATCCCAGAAAGCAGAAGCGAGGCTATAGGGAGTGTGAGATCCTGAAGGAGGAAAGGCCAGTTTAAGAGAATGATGTTGGCCGGGTATGGTGGCTCACGCCTGTAATCCCAGCACTTTGGGAGGCTGAGGTGGGTGGATCACCTGAGGTCAGGAGTTCGAGACCAGCCTGGCCAACACGACGAAACCCTGTCTCTACTAAAATTGCAAAAATTAGCCTGGCGTGGTGGCATGTGCCTGTCATCCCAGCTATTTGGGAGGCTGAGGCAGGAGAATTGCTTGAACCTGGGAGGCGGAGGTTGCGGTGAGCAGAGATTGCACCATTGCACTCCAGCCTGGGCAACAGAGTGAGACTCCGTCTCAAAAAAAAAAAAAAAAAAAGAGTGATGTCACTGTTGTGTGCAGTGGAGTTCGATTCCCCCAGGCCCTCCTGAGGAGAGAGCTGAATGTCTCCAGACGCTTTCCACCTGAAGGACAGGAGGCAGGAGCATCTGTCTACTGCTTCCCACTCTGCAATAATTGCAGGTTGACTCTGGGCATTAGTTCTCTGCCCTTTTTTTTTTTTTTTTTGAGACAGAGTTTTGCTCCTTTTGCCCAGGCTGGAGTTGTAGTGAGCTGAGATAGCGCCACTGTACTCCAGCCTGGGTGACAGGGCGAGACTCCATCTCAACAAAAAAAAAAAAAAAAAAAAAGGCTGGCTGTGGTGGCTCATGTCTGTAATCTGAGCACTTTGGGAGGCCGAGGCGGGTGGATTACCTGAGATCATGAATTTGAGACCAGCCTGGCAAACATGGTGAAACCTCGTCTCTACTAAAAATACAAAAATTAGCCGGCGTGCTGGTGGGCACCTGTAATCCGAGCTACTTGGGAGGCTGAGGCAGGAGAATCGCTTGAACCCAGGAGGCGGAGGTTGCAGTGAGCCAAGACGGCACCACTGCACTCCAGCCTGGGTGACAGAGTGAGACTCTGTCTCAGAAAAAAAAAAAAAAAGAAAAAAATTATGATACAGAGAACAATGAGATGTTTTATAAATTTATAGTTCAAAAGAAACATTTTATTTTGGTAAAAGCCAAGAAGTGAAAGATAAATAGTTTTGCAGCCATAAAAAAAAAAAATTAAATCATGTCCTTTGCAGCAACATGGATGGAGCTGGAGGACAGAATCCTAAATGAATTAGCGTAGGAACAGAAAACCAAATGCCTAATGTTCTCACTTATAACGGAACTAAATATTGAGCACATATGGACATAAATATAGGAACAATAGACACTGAAGACTACTAGAAGGGGAGAGAGGGAGGGAGTGTGGGTTAAAAAATTACCTAATTGGTTCTATGACTACCTAGTGCAATATACCCATGTAACAAACCTGCACCTGTACCCCCTGTATCTAAAATAAAAGTTGGAATTTTAAAAAAAGAAAAAAAGGCCAGGCGCGGTGGCTCATGCCTGTAATCCCAGCACTTTGGGAGGCTGAGGTAGGCGGATCACCTGAGGCCAGGAGTTGGAGACCAGCCTGGCCAACATGGTGAAACCCCGTCTCTACTAAAAATGCAAAAATTAGCTGGGCGTGGTGTCAGCCGTTTGTAATCCCAGCTACTTGGGAGGCTGAGGCAGGAGAATTGCTTGAACCCGGGAGGCGGAGGTTGCAGTGAGCCGAGATCACGCCATTGCACTCCAGCCTGGGTGACACAAAGAGACTCTATCTGAAAAAAAGAGAAAGAAAATGTGCTCTTATGTAAGTGAGAAATGTTCTGAAAAAAGAAAAAAGAGAAATATTTTAAAATGAAAAATTTGAGCTTTTCCGTAAAAAAATTTTTAATGAATTCCCAGCACTTTGGGAGGCCTAGGTTGGAGGATTGCTTGAGGCTAGTTCAAGACCAGCCTGGAAAACATAGCAAGACCTCATCTCTAATTAAAGTAAACAATTAAAAAAAACTTAGCCTGGTATGATGGTATATGACTGTAATCTCAGCTACTCAGGAGGCTGAGGTGGGAGGATTGTGGAAGCCCAGGAGTTTGAGGCTGCCGTGAGCTATGATCAGGTCTCTGCACTCCAGCCTGGGCAACAAAGCAAGACCCCATCTCAAAAAAAAAATATTCCTCGAGGCCAGGCACAGTGGCTCACACTTGTAATCCTAACACTTTGGGAGACTGAGGCAGGAGGATCACTTGAAGCTAGGAGTTTGAGGCCAGTCCGGGCAACATACTGAGACCCCTGTCTTTACAAAAGTAAATAAATGAATAAATTAGCTGGGCATGGTGATGCATGCTTCTTGTCCCAGCTTCTTGGAAGGCTGAGGTGGGAGGATCATGTGAGCCCAGGAGTTTGTGGTTACAGTGAGCTGTGATTGCACCACTAAACTCCAGCCTGGGTGACAGTGAGACCCTGTCTTTAACTTAAAAAAAAAAAAAAATCCTGGCTGGGAGCGGTGGCTCACGCCTGTAATTCCAGCACTTTGGGAGGCCGAGGTGGGCGGATCACGAGGTCAGGAGTTCAAGACCAGCCTGGCCAAGTTGGTGAAACCCCATCTCTACTAAAAATACAAAAAAATTAGCTGGGTGTAGTGGCGGGCACCTGTAATCCCAGCTACTCAGGAGGCTTGAACCTGGGAGGCAGAGGTTGCAGTGGGCCGAGATTGCATCACTGCACTCCAGCCTGGGTGACAGAGCAAGACTCTGTCTCAAAAAAAAAAAAAAAAAAAAAAATTCCTGGAAGGAATGGTTGGTGGGTGGTATATAGACATGAACCCAGACCGTCTATGAACCGAGACCGTCTATGAACTGAAGCTAGATGATGGATACATACATGAAAGTTCATTTTACTATTCTCTCTACTTTACAATATGTTTGAAATTTTACAAAATAAAACTTAATCTGCAGAGAGATTGTATCAGGGTCTCTTGTTAATAGTCCAGTAGGGTATTTCTTTTCTTTTCTTTTCTTTTCTTTTTTTTTTTTTTCTGGAGACGGAGTTTTGTTCTTGTTGCCCAGGTTGGAGTGCAGTGGTGCAATCTCAGCTCACAGCAACCTCTGCCTCCCAGGTTCAAGCAATTCTCCTGCCTCAGCCTCCTGAGTAGGTGGGGTGACAAGTGCCTGCCAACACACCCGGCTAATTTTTGTATTTTTAGTAGAGACGGGATTTCACCATGTTGGTCAGGCTGGTCTCAAACTCCTGACCTCAGGTGATCCACCTGCCTTGGCCACCCAAAGTGCTGGGATTACAGGCGTGAGCCACTGGGCCTGGCCTTGAATAGGTATCATATGTACCCAGTGAAAACTACAAGGAGTAATAAAGGGGATTTGGTGAAAATTAAGTTGCCTTCTTTACCTCCCACCTCATTTTCCAGCCCCCAGTTCTCCCCAGAGGCAACTCTCCTATCCAGTTTTTTGTAAACTTTTCCAGTGAAATTATATACACACAGAGAGCATATGTGGCTACTATCCTCTTTCCCTCCTTTTTTTGCATAAATGGTGGCATCCCATACATACAGTTCTGAATGTCTATCTAGTTTAAAAGTGTATATTATATAACATATATATCTGGAGACATTCAGCTCTGTACACACAGATAAGCCTTAAGCTTGCAGAGACTGCGTAGTATTCAGTTGTCCCCATACCACAATGTGCTGTGTCTGTCCCCTATTAATGGACGTGGGAGTTTCCAAACATTTCCTCTTGGTAACAGTGAATGCTAAAGCAAATATCCTGGTACCTTTTATACCTGTAGGGTAGCCGATCTTCTCCTTTTGATGGTCCTAATTCTCAAAGGTAACCTTAAGGGGAGTGTATTTTGCTGTTGGTTCTGTGGATGACAGGTGACAAAACAGGGTGAGTAAGGCTACGAAATAGCTAATGAATTTGCCAAGCCAAACCTGAGGTTCCAGGCTGTCTTAAGTCAAAGCCTGAATTCCTCATACCACACTGGGGCTGGGGCCAGAGACGGGGCAGGAGGAGCTCTTCTCAGGTATAACCTTTCATTTGTGTTGGGCAGGAAAGCAAGGCATGAACGTATGTCTTTCTACTGGGCAAGTTCCCTCTTCACCCCTTGGCAGCACTGGAGGAGTGAGGGCAGGAGGATTCTCCCATGTGAGCCCCAGGCTATCCTTTTGTCAAGAGGGTACTGGTACCCAGAACTGGGAAGGGGATGAATATCTCCCCACTCCCCAGGATAAAGGAAAACATTAGAGAGGAATTTTCAATGAAAGGGCAGAGGAGGCTAGTGAGGCCCCCACTGCCACCAATGCTAAGCCCAGAGCTGGGGTTGGGGTGGTGAGGACCGGAGCCAGGGCAATTCAGCCATAGGCCACCCCTCCCCCTGGCCCATCCTCAGCTGACCCCTGAGCACCTGAGTTGTGTTTACCACCCTCTTACCTGGGTTACCCAGGGCAGCTTCCCTGATGGGTAGCAAGAAGTGGGTGATAACATGCACCATGCCCCCCACCAGCCCAAGGACAGTGGAGACCTCAGAGGGCTGAGGTAAGAGCTGCGGTGTGGGCAGATGGACACCCTGGTACACCCCAGGCCTGTGAGTCTTTAGAGGTTGAGTTTTTGTCTGAAAGAGATATGGCGCCTACAGGAGGTCAGGGACAGGCCTTCTGTTTCTTGGGAGGCCCTACCCCACCCCTTAGTTCCTCGTTCCATTCTCAGGAATTGTTTGTGCAATGGATGGACAAGGACAGGAGGTTCAGTGTCTAACCCAGTGTCTGGGCCTGCAGGGTGGCCTCTGAGGCCCAGGGCCCTGGAAGAGCCTGGGCATGGGGAGGAGCCCCATGGGGCAGGGCAAAACCCTTTCTGAGGCTCTAAGGGTGATGTATGTGGAGATTCCTCAAGATCATAGTTGGGCAATCACTTCAAAGTTAGTAGGCAGTGCCTGCTAGGATGGGGGATGGTGTGTGTACCGAGGAACTTAGCAGAGGCCTTTGTGTGGAAATGGGTGGGGTCTGACCCAATGTAAATATTTTTATTAAAAAAGAAATGGATGAGAAACCAAAGCCAATTCTGTTGCTGACCTGAAAGATGCTATTTACTTGGGGTGGAAATAGGATGGGGGAGGGCATTGGCTTGACCTTACTTGGATAGCTCATTGTTTAAAAAAAAAACTCCTGGATCCTTCCTCTGGGGAGCTTGAGACAAGTGCACAAGTAGCTAGAAGGTGGGAAATGGCGTGGACAGGTCTTGTAGGAGTCTGGAAGATGAGGGATTTGAGAAGGATGGAAAAGAAGGTGTTATGGGAGAGGGGGTGCCAAGAGGAAAGAGCCTAGGGGAGAGAGGGCTTGGAAATGCAAGGGGCTGGGGTAGACTTCAGGGATGCGCAAGGAGCTCCCAGCAGTCACTAAAGAGAAGACGTGAGGAAGAGGCACTACCACTTGGTGGCTATGAGTGTGGACCCAGGAGCCATGCTGCCTGGGTTTGAATCCCGGCTCTGCTGCTTAGTACCTGTATGAACCTGGGGCAGCTCACTTAACCTTTGTGTGCCTCAGTTCCCTCATCTGTAAAGTGGGAGTAACAACAGAACCTGTGTCATAAGCTTGCTGTGAGGATTAAGTGAGCACCTACATTTAAGACTTAAAAATACTGTCTGGCACTATGTCCTGCTAATATGAAGTCTTCCTCCCCCAGAAGCAGACCTGGAGACAAGGGTTCCAGTGCAGACAGTGCATTCTGGAGGTGATCGCAAGAAACATGGGTAGTGGAGTGTGATAGAGAAGGAAGGCAGTCAATGAAGGGTGTGTTATCAGGCAAATTTACCATTGTGGGTGAGTGGAGGTCAATCCCACTCAGGAACCCTGGAGTGGTGCAGAGTTATCCCATGGTCCAGGGTGAGGGAGCCCAGTATTTATACCAATCAGTCATTGGTTGAAGGCCTTAATTCTCTGTCATTTCCAGCTTTCTGTGCACAGATGGTGCAGGACACCAAAAACAATCCTTGGGTAGAGACAGAGATGCTGCAGCTGGAAGTCAGTGGAGCACCCCAGTGATAAGGCCCAAGGGATATGGTGGGGCAAGGACAGATCCACTAAAACCACCAAGAGGCTTGCAGAGCAATGCTGAATCCCCATCTAAAGTCACACATTAAGGCTGTGAACCAGGCCAAGCCAGACTAGTTTTCCAATTTGGGGGTTGACCTGCAGTTGCCATAGAAGGTTGAGGGGTGGCAGATCCTAGGATGACCGCGAAGTCCATGCCCAAGTGGCCAGACTGGATAAGGAGTAGACTGGCCACTAGAGTGGGGTCGGCCTCTGCTATATGCCACGTTTCCTCAGAAATTTTCAGCTGCAAGGTGCTGAGCTCTCCAGGGGAGAATAAGGCATCCTGAGAGGCCATCAGAGCATCATTTCTGATTTTTAAACTCTGATTAGGGGGCCTGGCACAGTGGCTCACACCTGTAATCCCAGCACTTTGGGAGGCAGAGGCAGGTGGATCACCTGAGGTCAGGAGTTTGAGACCAGCCTGACCAGCATGGTGAAACCCCATCTCTACTAAAAATACAAAAATTAGCTGGGCATGGTAGCACATGCCTGTAATCCCAGCTACTTGGGAGTCTGAGGCAGGAGAATCCCTTGAACCCAGGAGGTGGAGGTTGCAGTGAGCCGAGATCGTACTGCTTCACTCCAGCCTGGGCAACAAAGCAAGACTTTGTCTCAAAAACAAAAAACCAAAAAAACCAAAAGCAAAAATCCAACTCTGACTAGGAGATGAAGTACAGAATTGGGGTATTGGTTTTTTCTCTTTGGAATTGTACCCTTGGAAGCAGATATTAGAAGCCTAGAATTGATAAGAAGAAATTTGGACAAGATGGAAGAAGCTGGCAGGAGAGGCATGTCTGTTTTTTAGATATTATTCACCTGCTTCCCTCTACCTGGAGTGAAAACACGGTTACATTTGCTGGGCTTTTGAATGGTACAAGAAATAGAGAAGCCAAGGTCGCCCTCATCTGGTGGGGTCTACTGAAAAGCTAATCGGGAGTGCCGAGGGGAATAAAGGTCTGGCATCTTTAGCCCCACAGGTCAGGTCATGGTCCTTCCACATTCGACTGGGCCTCCTGGAGAGCTGACAGTGGACTATAACTGACTTTTTGCCAATGGAATATGAATGGAAGAGTGGGGTGGGAGGCAGACTTGATGGAGACCCTGTTTCAACCATGCAGACAAGGACAATTTCCAAAGGCATGAACCACAGATGGAAGGAAGCTGGAGGCCTGAAGGAGGCTGATGAGCAGCTCTGCCAGCCAGGGCCACACACGCCATCTCAGCCTTGTCTGCTTACCCTGAGCCTCTTATTTTGTTTTTATTTTTTTTTTGTTGAGATGGAGTCTTGCTCTGTCACCCAGGCTGGAGTGCAGTGGCACGATCTCCGCTCACTGCAAGCTCCATCTCCCGGGTTCACGCCATTCGCCTGCCTCAGCCTCCCGAGTAGCTGGGACTACAGGCGCCGCCACCACACCCAGCTAATTTTTTTTTTTTTGTAGTTTTAGTAGAGACAGGGTTTCACCATGTTAGCCAGGATGGTCTCGATCTCCTGACCTCGTGATCCGCCCGCCTCGGCCTCCCAAAGTGCTGGGATTACAGGCGTAAGCCACCGCACCCGGCCTCTGAGGCTCTTATTTATTTATTTTTTTTGAGATGGAGTCTCGCTCTGTCTCCCAGGCTGGAGTGCAGTAGCGCGATCTCAGCTCACTGCAAACTCTGCCTCCCGGGTTCCTGCCATTCTCCTGCCTCAGCCTCCCGAGTAGCTGGGACTACAGGCGCCTGCCACCGCGCCCGGCTAATTATTTGTATTTTTTAGTAGAGACGGGGTTTCACCGTGTTAGCCAGGATTGTCTCGATCTCCTGACCTTGTGATCCACCCGCCTCGGCCTCCCAAAGTGCTGGGATTACAGGCGTGAACCACCGCGCCCGGCCTCTGAGGCTCTTATTTGAAAGTGCAGCAAAATTCTATCTTATTTAAGTTACTGTATTTTAGGGTCTCTTTATTACAGAAGTTTAACGTGTATCCTAATAAACACACTTCTCTGAGTGTTGCCTTTGGCTCTCACATTGATTTCTTGCTAGGTATATCAGTTAGACATGGTTTGGCTTTGTTATAACCAAGCTAGAATAACAGCAGCTTAAATGGTCTGAGCATAAGTGGTCCAGGTCAATCCTATTAGCTCTACAGGATTGGAGAGCAGGGCCTCTTTAATTTTGTTTCTTTATCATCATCCACATGTGACTTCCATTTTGTGATCTAGGTGGCTGTTCCAGAGTCCACCATTCTGTCCACATTCCAGCTGGTGGGAAGGGAAGAAGTTTTATACATTGAGGAGTAAACACTTCTCCTTAAGAACATACTCTGTGGGCCCAGAAAACTTGGGAGTTTTATTACTTAAGCAGGAAGAGAGAATGAATTCTGCCACACTGTGCCAAGTTGATGTAGCTCAACAAATACTGGGAAAAACTCATGAAAGAAAGGCCCTTTCTTTTGAAGGCAGCTGTTACATATTAGTTTGATGGCTTTAAAAGGCACCCAAAGTTTAGTGATTTGAATGTTCAGTCAGGTTAGGCTTCATTACGTTCTGGTAACCAACAACCTAGAAATATTTGTTGCCATAGGAGGGCTTACAAAATATAGCCATCAGTCTCTCCTATTCTGATGTGCCTGCCCCTTTGCCGTGTGACTTTGCCATTCCTCCTATCAAGAGGTAAATTCTATGCCTCCAGTCTTAAATCTGGGCTGACCTTGTGATTTGCTTTGACCAATAGAATGTGGCAGAAGTGATGTTATGTGACTTTTGGGGCTAGGCCTCGAGAGACCTTGCAGCTTATGTTTTGGATTCCTCAGAAGTTGTCCTGAGACTGCCATGCTATGAGGGCTAGGGAGGAAGGACCTGCTGTCCTACTGTTAACTGAACTCAGCCCCTAGCTGACTGCCGCTGCATGGAAGATCAGCAGAAGAACCTTCTGGCCAATATGAGAAAGAATAAATCATTTTTAAATTTCCTACATATTGGGTGGGTACTTTTTTTCCTGCATTAGTAGAAATGCAATGAATTAAAATAACAAAGGTTTATTTTTTGGTCATATTACTTATCCACTGAGAGTCAGCCGAGTATTGCGCTTTTTTTTTCTTTTTTGAGACAGAGTCTCCCTATGTCACCCAGGCTGAAGTGCAGTGGTGTGATCTCGGCTCACTGCAATCTCTGCCTCCCGGGTTCAAGCGATTCTCCTACCTCAACCTCCTGAGCAGCTGGGATTACAGGCGTATGCCACCACGCCCAGCTAATTTTTGTATTTTTAGTAGAGATGGGGTTTCACCATGTTGGTCAGGCTGGTCTCTAACTCCTGAACTCAGGTGATCCCCCTGCCTCGGCCTCCCAAAGTGCTGGGATTACAGGTGTGAGCCACTGTGCCCGGCTGGTACTGTGCTTTCGATATCACCCAGGGATCTTGGCTGGTGGAGCAGCCACCATCTCAGACGTTACCATACAGAGGGGAAGAGCAGGGTGAAGACTACATTGAGCTTCCATCAGGAAGTGATACATATCACTTGTACTCACATCTTATTGGCTAAAACAAGTGGCTGGGGAAATCCTATCCTACCATGTGATTGAAAGAAGACAAGGCTACAGTATTTGTGAACATCCTTAAATACCCCCCACCTTTACGATAGTTTATTTCTCTCTTGTAACAATCTAAGTGGCTGTGCAGGGCTGGTATGACATCAACACTGTGTCAGACACCCAGGCTCCTCTGTCTGTTTGCTCTGTCATCCCCAGCATGTTGCCCTCATCCTCCTGGTGGAAGACGGATCTCCGCTAGGTTTATATTCCAGCCCATGAAAAGAAAAGGCACACTGCCTTTTTATTTTAGGGACATAACTTGGAAATGACATACATAAGTTCTACTAACATCCCATTAGCCAGAACCAAGTCACCTGGCTACCTAGCTGCAAGGGAAGCTAGGAAATATGGTCTTTAGCTGGGTGACTGTATGTTCCCCTAACCATCTCTTACTGTGGAAGGAGGGAGAAAAGATACTTGAGGGGCAGGGGAGGCACTAGCAGCTCTGCCACAGCAGCCACTTTGGAGTCCCTAACACCAGGATGTCCTGATTTTCATGCACTTAGCCCTGTCCAAGGGGAGTCTCAATTTGTGTACTCTTTTTTTTTTTTTTTGAGACAGAGTCTTGCTCTTGTCACCCAGGCTGGAATGCAGTGGCATGATCTTGGCTCACTGCAACCTCTGCCTCCCGGGTTCAAGTGATTCTCCTGCCTCAGCCTCCCGAGTAGCTGGGATTACAGGCCCCTGCCACCACACCCGGCTAATTTTTTGTAATTTTAGTAGAGACGGGGTTTCACCATGTTGGCCGGGCTGGTCTCAAATTCCTGACCTCATGATCCACCCGCCTCAGCCTCCCAAAATGCTGGGATTACAGGCGTGAGTCACTGTGCCCGGTCTTATTTTTTTTTTTTCTTTTTGAGATGTAGTCTTACTCTGTTGCCCAGGCTGGAGTGCAGTGGCACAATCTTGGCTCACTGCAACCTCCATCTTCTAGGTTCAATCAGTTCTCTAAGGACTCACTTATAAATCAAAAGGGTTTTTACGAACCTAAATGATCACTTCAGAGAGGTTTCATGTTCATTTTTTTATTGGTCTTATTTATTTTTACCCTACGTTGTTCAAAAAGGTATTGAAAAGACTTCTGTGGGTCAGGGAGACTAACACACTAGCTTCAAGTTTCTTTGCTTCCTGCATTTCATACAAGTGTAGGTTATGATTTAAAGGCATATCCCAGCCCCCGCAAAAGTTTTATTCCTTTGAGTAACCAACCCCAAATGTATTTACTTTGCCAGTTGGGAATTTCATCTACTAGACTTTCCGTAAAAATGTTGTAAACATTTTTCCTGTCTCCAAAACTAAGTGTTGATTTCATTTTTTCCACCTAGATTATCTCTAGGGAAGGATTGTAGGGAATAAAAAAGTATTGTCAATCTTCCTATTTATCAAGAAGTTCTAAAAAAATTAGTTTCACCCCCCTCGGAAGTTTATCTTCAAGAAGACAGAACTGTTCTAGGCTCTCAGGAAGTAAAACCCACTTGGTACAACCCAAAAGAACACTAAAACTTTACTTAAATGAAATATTTTGCAATATCTTGGATGGTTTGTGGGTTTGTGTGCTTTAGACTATTGACTATTCACACAAGAGCAAGGTGCATGTGTGCACACACGAGCCCAAATATGTGTTTGCCTGCGTGTTTGTGAGCATGCGTGTATGGTGCACATGTGCACGCATGGGTGGGTGGAGCGTGGGGGCAGTACACAAAGCCTGTGGGGGAGATCTATTGACCCTATAGATATATTAGCATCAGGGAGACAGGGCAAAGGTTTCACCCTTCAGTTCAGTCCCCAATCCCTGCTTATTATTTCCCTAACAGAAGACCATCCCCCTTGCCACTCCCTGGTTTTTCTTCTCTGGCAGCAATGAAGCAGCTGCTGACCCAGCTCTAGTTTTCGGGAAGTCAGATGACCTTTTCCCTCCCGCGGCTCTCTACCTCTCGCCGCCCCTAGGGAGGACACCATGGGCCCACTGATGGTTCTTTTTTGCCTGCTGTTCCTGTACCCAGGTAGGAGGCAGGGAAGGGGGAACGTCAGGGTCCTGTGTGTGAGGTTGGTGCTCCCAGCTTGAATTCCCATGTGTGAAACAGTCTCTTTTGCTTTCCTTTTCTCATCTGTGTCTTCCTTCTTTCTCCATTGCTGTCTCCTTGTTCCCACGGCTCTAGGTCTGGCAGACTCGGCTCCCTCCTGCCCTCAGAACGTGAATATCTCGGGTGGCACCTTCACCCTCAGCCATGGCTGGGCTCCTGGGAGCCTTCTCACCTACTCCTGCCCCCAGGGCCTGTACCCATCCCCAGCATCACGGCTGTGCAAGAGCAGCGGACAGTGGCAGACCCCAGGAGCCACCCGGTCTCTGTCTAAGGCGGTCTGCAAACGTGAGGCTCCCTGTGGGCTTTGCTCAGGGTGCTACACCAGGGGCCACCCCAGAACTTTTGTTTAGGAGTTGCTCAGGGTGGGACTTAACCTGACTAGATGGCAAAGTTGCTTTTGCAGAGGGCTTTTCAAAATATCCAGAAAATGTCAATTGCCAGTAGCAAGGAATTGGGAACAGGTCTTGATGGAGACTGTGGGGTACTAAAGCCAGGGATGACTTTTTATGTACAATTGACTGCCTAGTAGTGACCATTCAGAACAGATGCTGAATGGTCCTGGAGTCCTCTAGACATCTGAGGATCCCAAGGGGAGTGTCTGGGGAGGCCACGGCCCTCAGGAGACTGAGGGAAGTGGCTATTTATCAATCAGTTCGCTTAGACTCTGTGAAATTGGCAATATTCAATCAGTTGCCAAAAACAGCAATTTCACATGTTGCAACCTAATATTTCAGTGTTTTGACAGCCAGTTGACCATTCCCATGCATTCCAGCATAAAATCACCTGCTTAATCCCCAGCCCAGGTGTTATCCATCCAGTCCTATATTCCCCACCCACTTCCTCTCTCTCCAGCTGTGCGCTGTCCAGCCCCTGTCTCCTTTGAGAATGGCATTTATACCCCACGGCTGGGGTCCTATCCCGTGGGTGGCAATGTGAGCTTCGAGTGTGAGGATGGCTTCATATTGCGGGGCTCGCCTGTGCGTCAGTGTCGCCCCAACGGCATGTGGGATGGAGAAACAGCTGTGTGTGATAATGGGGGTGAGTTCTCTGGCTGATGGGCTACACAGGGGGCTGGGGTCTCCTGGGGAACCCTGGGGCCCAATGTGCATCCAGGAAGCCTCTGTGGGGATAGGAGTCTGTTGTTCAGTGTGCCATAATAATATTCCTGGATTTTGGTAAATTGAGGTCTACAGGTCACACATCACAAGTCTGCAAGGGCCAGGCCCCAGGCAGCTGGTGCTAAGCTTCAGATGTAGCATAAAGCCTCCACACACTCTGCCTGGCTTTTCTAAGTGCCTCAAAGCAAGACTTCATATTCAGGCCCCACAGATTGTTGTAGGGAAGATATGCTGGGAGAGAGTCAAGTACTGTGCTTTAATGCCTTGCCTTTAAAGCCAGGTTTGGGTTCCAAGCCCTACTCTGACTTTGACAGACTTTGGGAAGGCTATTTAACCTTTCTAGCCCTCAGTTTTCCCATCTGTAAGACAAGGATAGTGAGTGCTGACCTGAGATTGCCATCTGGATTAAATGAGTTGACATTAGTAAGCATATACAACAGCCCTGGAGTGCGGTGGCTCACGCCTGTAATCCCAGCACTTTGGGAGGCCAAGGGGGGTGGATCACAAGGTCAGGAGTTTGAGACCAGCTTGGCCAACATGGTGAAACCCCGTCTCTAGTAAAAATACAAAAATTAGCCGGGTGCGGTGGCGCATGCCTGTAATACCAGCTATTCAGGAGGCTGAGGCAGGAGAATCATTTGAACCAGGAAGTGGAGATTGCAGTGAGCCGAGATTGCATCATTGCACTCCAGCCTGAGTGACAGAGTAAGACTCTGTCTCAAAAAAAAAAAAAAAAAAAAAAATGCCAGCCTCGGTGCCTCACGCCTGTAATCCCAGCACTTTGGGAGGCTGAGGTGGGTGGATCACCTGAGGTCAGGAGATTGAGACCAGCCTGGTCAACGTGGTGAAACCTCGTCTATACTAAAAATACAAAAATTAGCTGGGCGTGGTTAATCCCAGCTACTCAGGAGGCTGAGGCAGGAGAATCACTTGAACCTGGGAGGCAGAGGTTGCAGTGAGCCGAGATCGTGCCACTGCACTCCAGCCTGGGTGACAGAGTGAGACTCTGTCTCAAAACAAACAAACAAACAAACAAACAAAAAACAAAAAAAACAGCCCCTGGAATCTGATAAATGCCATGTACACTTTTTTTTTTTTTTGAGACGGAGTCTAGCTCTTGTTGCCCAGGCTGGAGTGCAATGGCGCAATCTCAGCTCACCGCAACATCTGCCTCCCGGGTTCAAGTGACTCTCCTGCCTCAGCCTCCCAAGAAGCTGGGATTACAGGCATGCGCCACCATGCCTCGGTAATTTTCTATTCTTAGTAGGGACAGGGTTTCTCCATGTTGGCCAGGCTGGTCTCAAACTCCTGACCTCAGGGGATTCTGCCCACCTTGGCCTCCCAAAGTGCTGGGATTACAGGCGTGAGCCACGGCATCCGGCCTTGTTTTTGTTTCTTTAAGAGACAGGATCTCGCTGTGTTGCCAAGGCTGGCTTCAAACTCCTGAGCTCAAGTGATCTTCCTACCTCAGCCTCCTCAGTAGCTGGGAATGCAGGCATGTGCCACCACACCTGGCCATAAGCACTTTTGTCATAGTTATTGCTGCCCCTGTGAATGGTGAGGGGCTCTGCTTGGCAGAAGTAGGGCTCCTAGGATTCCCTGGAGCTGCATTTGCCTGTGGGTTTGGGAGCTTCTTGGATCATGGTTCTTAGCACATCATACAGAAGACACGGAGTCCACAAGATGGCAGGACCACCTTCACCTAGTGGCCCAGACCATGGATCCCCACTCATGCCCTTGGGTTTTGGCAAATGGCCATTTATTCTGTAGGAGGGTGAAGTAGATGCCTGGTAAGACTGTGATAAGTAATGCTTGAATTATTAGACGTGACTCTAACTTATTTTAAAATTGAGGCATAATTTACCTATTGTAAAATGTACAAATCTTAACTATTCAGCTCAATGATTTGTTACAATGCATCCACTCATCTAATCACCACCCAAGACAGAATGAGGTTCCCTCTTGTCCCCTCCCACAAGGTAACTGCTCTTCTGACCTCTGTCTCCATGGACTAGGTACCTTGTGCTTACATTTCCTGTAAATGGAATCATGCGGGATGTGGTCTGTTGCTTCTGGCATCCTTTGTTCTATATTCTGCCTGTGAGATTTATCCATGCTGTTGTGTGTATCAGTACTTTGTTCTTTTTTATTGCTGTGTAGTATTCCATTATATGGGTATATTACAATTTATCCATTCCCCTCCTGATGGACATTTGGATTATTTCCAGTTTGGGGCCATTAGGAGTAAAGCTCTAGGAACATTCTTTTTTTTTTTTTTTTTTTAATTGATCATTCTTGGGTGTTTCTCACAGAGGGGGATTTGGCAGGGTCACAGGACAATAGTGGAGGGAAGGTCAGCAGATAAACAAGTGAACAAAGGTCTCTGGTTTTCCTAGGCAGAGGACCCTGCGGCCTTCCGCAGTGTTTGTGTCCCTGGGTACTTGAGATTAGGGAGTGGTGATGACTCTTAAGGAGCATGCTGCCTTCAAGCATCTGTTTAACAAAGCACATCTTGCACCGCTCTTAATCCATTCAACCCTGAGTGGATACAGCACATGTTTCAGAGAGCACAGGGTTGGGGGTAAGGTCACCGATCAACAGGATCCCAAGGCAGAAGAATTTTTCTTAGTACAGAACAAAATGAAAAGTCTCCCAGGTCTACCTCTTTCTACACAGACACGGCAACCATCCGATTTCTCAATCTTTTCCCCACCTTTCCCCCCTTTCTATTCCACAAAACCGTCATTGTCATCATGGCCCCTTCTCAATGAGCTGTTGGGTACACCTCCCAGACGGGGTGGTGGCCGGGCAGAGGGGCTCCTCACTTTCCAGTAGGCGCGGCCGGGCAGAGGCGCCCCTCACCTCCCGGACAGGGCGGCTGGCCGGGCGGGGGGCTGACCCCCCCACCTCCCTCCCGGACGGGGCGGCTGGCCGGGCGGGGGGCTGACCCCCCCACCTCCCTCCCGGACAGAGTGGCTGGCCGGGCAGAGGGGCTCCTCACTTCCCAGCAGGGGCGGCCGGGCAGAGGCGCCCCTCACTTCCCGGATGGGGCGGCTGGCCGGGCGAGGGGCTGACCCCCCCACCTCCCTCCCGGACGGGGCGGCTGGCCGGGCAGAGTGGCTCCTCACTTCCCAGTAGGGGCGGCCGGGCAGAGGCGCCCCTCACTTCCCGGACGGGGCGGCTGGCCGGGCTGGGGGCTGACCCCCCCACCTCCCTCCCGGACGGGGCGGCTGGCCGGGCGGGGGGCTGACCCCCCCACCTCCCTCCCGGACCAGGTGGCTGCTGGGCGGAGGGGCTCCTCACTTCTCAGACAGGGCGGCTGCCGGGCGGAGGGGCTCCTCACTTCTCAGATGGAGCGGTTGCCAGGCAGAGGGTCTCCTCACTTCTCAGACGGGGCGGCCGGGCAGAGACGCTCCTCACATCCCGGATGGGGCGGCCGGGCAGAGGTGCTCCCCACATCTCAGACGATGGGCGGCAGGGCAGAGACGCTCCTCACTTCCCAGATGTGATGGCGGCCGGGAAGAGGCGCTCCTCACTTCCTAGATGGAATGGCGGCCGGGCAGAGACGCTCCTCACTTTCCAGACTGGGCAGCCAGGCAGAGGGGCTCCTCACATCCCAGACGATGGGTGGCCAGGCGGAGACGCTCCTCACTTCCCAGACGGGGTGGCGGCCGGGCAGAGGCTGCAATCTCGGCACTTTGGGAGGCCAAGGCAGGCTGCTGGGAGGTGGAGGTTGTAGCGAGCCAAGATCACGCCACTGCACTCCAGCCTGGGCATCATTGAGCACTGAGTGAACGAGACTCCGTCTGCAATCCCAGCACCTCGGGAGGCCGAGGCTGGTGGATCACTCGCGGTTAGGAGCTGGAGACCAGCCCGGCCAACACAGCGAAACCCCGTCTCCACTAACAAAATACGAAAACCAGTCAGGCGTGGCGGCGCGCGCCTGCAATCGCAGGCACTCGGCAAGCTGAGGCAGGAGAATCAGGCAGGGAGGTTGCAGTGAGCCGAGATGGCAGCAGTACCGTCCAGCTTCGGCTCGGCATCAGAGGGAGACCGTGGAAAGAGAGGGAGAGGGAGACCATGGGGAGAGGGTGAGGGAGAGGGAGCTCTAGGAACATTCTTGCATGTGATTTTGGTACATGTATGCACTTGCTTCTCTTGAGTAAATGATCTAAATGTGGAATTGTCACATCACAGGCTGGCATATGTTTAGTTGTAGTAGAGGCTGAGAAAGTTTCACCCACGTACATGCCAGCAAGGTAACAGAGTGCCAGTCGCTCTGCATCCTCTCCAACACTTGGAATTACCTGTTGTTTCAGTGTTAGCCGTTTTGATGGGTGTGTAGGGATGCCTCACTGTGGTTTATGAAATATAAATGTTCTCTGAAGGAGTGGAGGGACCATCAGCTGACTTCTTCCCTGGGTCTCTGGGGGCTCTGGGACAGACATGGGTGCATCCCTGGGTTGGAACTGGGAAGCTTCTGCTGGCAACTGAGGCCGCTGAGGAGGCAGAGCCTGATGGGAGGGGGCTACTCACCTCTGCCTTCCTTTGTTCACTCGCAGCTGGCCACTGCCCCAACCCAGGCATTTCACTGGGCGCAGTGCGGACAGGCTTCCGCTTTGGTCATGGGGACAAGGTCCGCTATCGCTGCTCCTCGAATCTTGTGCTCACGGGGTCTTCGGAGCGGGAGTGCCAGGGCAACGGGGTCTGGAGTGGAACGGAGCCCATCTGCCGCCGTGAGTAGCTGCCCTGCCCTCCTGAGATTCCTCGGCACACCCGGCCACTGCCCCGGCTGACTCCTGTGTGGCTCTCCCCACAGAACCCTACTCTTATGACTTCCCTGAGGACGTGGCCCCTGCCCTGGGCACTTCCTTCTCCCACATGCTTGGGGCCACCAATCCCACCCAGAAGACAAAGGGTGAGTGTTTGAGGTGGGGTTTCTGGTTGAGCAGGGTGCTGGATCTGGGCCGGAGCAAGGGAGGATGCAACCTTCCTGGAGGCCAGGAGCCTTGGTGGGCTCAGCCACTGAAAGGGAGGGAGGCAGAGAAGCTGGACCTGCTTGGCGAGAGCGCAGGAAGGAGGTGGGGATCTGAATCCTCCCCTTCCACATTTCTCCAGAAAGCCTGGGCCGTAAAATCCAAATCCAGCGCTCTGGTCATCTGAACCTCTACCTGCTCCTGGACTGTTCGCAGAGTGTGTCGGAAAATGACTTTCTCATCTTCAAGGAGAGCGCCTCCCTCATGGTGGACAGGGTCAGGAATCAGGAGTCTGCCTGCAGCAGAGGCCTTCCTGTGCTCACTATCTCTCTCTGTCTCCTTCCCCTCCTCAGAACCCCACTCACAGCCCACCTCCTCCAAGAAGTCTTCTCAGATTATACTCATGCCATGTAGGAATCATGAATTCAATTTATACAATCATAATTTTTATTCCACAAGCACTGTTGGGACACTGTGCTGGGGCTGGGCGACAGCAAAGATGGAAAGGCTGAGGTCTTACTTTCCAGGAATTCATCATCTAGAACAGTGGTCTCCACAGAAAGGTAGTGAGATAACCCACAGGAGTGAAGCAGAAAAATACTGGTGCCCCTGTGGAATAATTTAAATCAGATTAATAATTTAATATTTAATAATTTCCTTTTAAAACTTCAACATTTTGTGCAGGCTTTAAAATGTGTGTGATAGACTGGGCATGGTGGCTAGTGCCTGTAATCCCAACACTTTGGGAGGCCGAGGCAGGTGGATCACTTGAGGTCAGGAGTTTGAGACCAGCCTGACCAACATGATGAAACCCTGTCTATACTAAAAATACAAAATTAGCCACATGTGATGGCGCACGCCTGTAACCCAGCTACTTGGGAGGATGAGGCAGGAGAATCGCTTGGATCCGGGAGGTGGAGGTTGCAGTGGGCTGAGATCACGCCATTGCACTCCAGCCTGGGCAACTAGAGCAAAACTCTGTCTCAAAAAAATAAATAAAATAAAATAAAATAAAATAAAATATGTGTGATAGAAGTTTGGAAGCCACTGGTTTAAGTTCCTCGCCAGAACTTTGTTTTGTAATTGTGCTTTTCACAATACTTCATGTAACATTATAGATGGTTTTCCCTCCCAGCTACATTTTAAAGAGGGCAGTTTCTGTGCTCTCTTGGGACTCAAAATTAAGTAACTCATTGCACTGCGAGGCGGCAACACACACCAGTTGGAGCAGTGATTGAGAATCATGTGACACATTCAGATCCCACTTCCACCTCCTCCTCATGGTGTGATGGGGGAAGGGGGACAAGGCAACATACCTCAGTTTCCTTATCCATAAAATAGGGGTCATCATGCCCCTCACAGGGTGGAGTGAAGAGAGTCTGTCAAAGAGAAAGATGTTCAACAAAGGTTTCTTCCTTAGCTGCTGCTGTTCCTTATTTTTATTATTATTATTATTATTATTATTTTTGAGATAGAGTCTCTGTCACCCAGGCTGGAGTACAGTGGTGCGATCTCAGCTCACTGCAAACTTTGCCTCCTGGGTTCAAGTGATTCTTCTGCCTCAGCCTCCTGAGTAGCTGGGATTATAGGTGCTTGCCACCATACCAGGCTAATTTTTGTATTTTTAGTAGAGATGGGTTTTGCCATGTTGGTCAGGCTGGTCTCGAACTCCTGACCTCAGGTGATCCACCTGCCTAAAGTGTTGGGATTCAGGCATGAGCCACCGCGCCCAGCCCCTAGCTTCTTCCTAACAGCCATTTCCTAGTGTCTCCCCTGGTCCTTGCCTCTGTCGGTCTCACTCCAGTTTCTCTGCCTCCTCCAGGGCCCTTTGTTTGCTCTCTTACCATCTCCCCTTTGGCTTCAGGGCCCTTTACGCTGCCTCTCACTTGCCCCGCACAGATCTTCAGCTTTGAGATCAATGTGAGCGTTGCCATTATCACCTTTGCCTCAGAGCCCAAAGTCCTCATGTCTGTCCTGAACGACAACTCCCGGGATATGACTGAGGTGATCAGCAGCCTGGAAAATGCCAACTATAAAGGTACGGGTGTCATCACGTGATGGTGATGAGAGAGGAGAAGATGGACCCTCTCAGGGCCTGCAAACAAATTCTGGATGAGTTAAAAAGAGAGTGAGGCCTCTTGGTGGCACCTGAGTCCCACGAGTCTGGGGTAGTTTCAACGTCCAGGGTTATGGTGGGGGAGTCCAGCTGCCCCCAGCTCATAGCTCATTCTGAGATGCTGCAGGTCCAAAGACACTGTGCAGGTCTTCAATTCCTTCCAGTTGCCAAAACCACACTGTCTGGTTTGCATGGCTGCACACTGCCATCTCCCCATGTCATTAGCCACCCATACACCATGTAAAGTGCCTGGTTGGCACTTAGCAAATGGCTGAAGCCACTCAAGGTTTTGGAAACCTCATCTTTGAATCTTGGGACTTTAGTGTGGTCTTGGATTGGGGTTATGCAATGAACATTTCTTTTTTCTTCTTCTTTTTTTTTTTTTTGAGGTGGAGTCTCGCACTGTCACCCAGGCTTGAGTGCAGTGGCACGATCTTGGCTCACTGCAACCTCTGCCTCCAGGGTTCAGGCAATTCTCCTGCCTCAGCTTCCCGAGTAGCTGAGATTTCGGGCACCTGCCACCATGCCTGGCTAATTTTTTATATTTTTAGTTGAGATGGGGTTTCACTATGTTGGTCAGGCTGGTCTCGTGATCCTGACTTTGTGATCCGCCCACCTCAGCCTCCCAAAGTGCTGGGATTACAGGCGTGAACCACCTTGCCCGGCCCTATGCAATGAACATTTCTAAGGTGGAAAGGCTTTTAAAGTTTGAACAAGCAATGATGCCACATCTCTATCTGAATGGCAAATGTCTGAGTTTATCAAAACAATCGATAAATTGCATTTCCAGGCCGGGTGCAGTGGCTCATGCCTGTAGTAATCCCAGCACTTTGGGAGGCTGAGATGGGCGGATCACTTGAGGTCAGGAAACCAGCTTGGCCAACATGGTGAAACCCCATCTCTACTAAAAATACAAAAAATTAGCTGGGCATGGTGGCTGGCACCTGTAATCCCAGCTACTTGGGAGACTGAGGCATGAGAATCACTTGAACTGGGGAGGTGGAGGTTGCAGTCAGCCAAGATCACGCCACTATACTCTAGCCTGGGTGGCAGAGCGAGACTCTCTCAAAAAAAAAAAAAAATTGCATTTCCAATAATTGGGGGAATAGAGTGATTCCCTACCCCTAGGTGGTAGGTGGGAAGTTTCTAAGAGAGTCCTTCCTTTTGGCATATTCCAGATCATGAAAATGGAACTGGGACTAACACCTATGCGGCCTTAAACAGTGTCTATCTCATGATGAACAACCAAATGCGACTCCTCGGCATGGAAACGATGGCCTGGCAGGAAATCCGACATGCCATCATCCTTCTGACAGATGGTGGGTATCATGGTCTCTGAGTGTGTCTGGAATAGTGGAAGGGGCACCAATATGGGGTCAGAAGCCCTGAATTCTGATTCTCCCTCTGCCTGCCACTTTGGGCCCCAGTTTTGTTTTTGTTTTTAGAGATGGGGCCTTGCTATGTTGCCCAGCTGATCTCAAACTCCTGGCTTCAAGCAATCCTCCTGCCTCAGCCTCCCAAAGTGCTGGGATTACAGGCATGAGCCACCACACCTGGCCCAGTTTCTTATTTATAAAATAGGGCCAGTGTGGTGGCTTATGCCTGTAGTCCCAGCACTTTGGGAGGCCAAAGCGGGTGGATCACTTGAGGTTAGGAGTTTGAGATCAGACTGGCTAACATGGTGAAACCCCGTCTCTACTAAAAATACAAAACCATTAGCTGGGTGTGGTGGCAGGCGCCTGTAATCCCAGCTACTTGGGAGGCTGAGGCAGGAGAATTGCTTGAACCTGGGAGGCAGAGGTTGCAGTGAGCCAAGATCATGCCACTGCACTCCAGCCTGGGTGACAGACCAAGATCCTACCTTGTCTCAAAATAAAATAAATAAATAAATAGAATTAGTGTTGATGATGATGACCGTAACCACAATGACAGCAATGATGATCATGATGGCTGTCCTCCTTTCCTTACACAATTTTTATGGAAAGCTATTTAAGTTGCCTGTGTGAAAGTGCTCTGTGTTAGCTCTTGTTACCATCTGGGAGGTAACTTGGAGATAGATGAGGAAACGTGGCTCTTGAGCAGGAATGTCGAAGGGCACGGATGCAAGGAACAGTCTGTAGTGGATCTGGCCTTGTCATTTGCCTCTTGCTATTGTCCAAATTACACAGTTCCTCCAGGACTTAGTATATAAAATGAGGATACCCACTCTACCTGGGGTTTCATGAGAATTAAATGAGTTAAAGTATAGGAAGCACCTGGCCTGGTGCCTGGAATGTAGAACATTTCAGTAAAAGTGTGTATATATATATATGTATGTATATATATATATATGTATACATACATATATATATATATATATTTATTTTTTTGAGACAGGGTCTCACTCTATTGCCCAGGCTGGACTACAGTGGTGCGATCTCGGCTCACTGCAACCTCTGCCTCCCAGGCTGAAGCAATTCTCGTGCCTCAGCCTCCAGAGTAGCTGGGACTACAGGCATGTGTCACCATGCCTGGCTAATTTTTATTTTTATTTTTTGAGATGGAGTTTCACTCTTGTTGCCCAGGCTGGAGTGCAATGGCGCGATTTCGGCTCACCGCAACCTCCGCCTCCCAGGTTCAAGCGATTCTCCTGCCTCCTGAGTAGCTGGGATTACAGGCATGTGCCACCACACCCGGCTAATTTTGTATATTTAGTAGAGGTGCGGTTTCTCCATGTTGGTCAAGCTGGTCTCAAACTCCCAACCTCAGGTGATCCACCTGCCTTGGCCTCCCAAAGTGCTGGGATTACAGGCATGAGCCACCATGCCCGGCCACACCTGGCTAATTTTTTGTGGTTTTAGTAGAGACAGGGTTTCACCATGTTGCCCAGGCTGGTCTGGAACTCCTGAGCTCAGGCAATCCGCCTTCTTCGGTCTCCCAAAGTGCTAGGATTACAGGTGTGAGCCACCATGCCCAGCCTAAAAGTATATTTTGAAGCTCTCACAGGCAATGTAAATGTTGAGGTTCCCAGGCTAAATGCTTTCCTACTCTTCCAGGGCCTGGGGAAATCCTGATATTACCTAGAAGAATTCTTTATTCTCTTTGTTCTAGGAAAGTCCAATATGGGTGGCTCTCCCAAGACAGCTGTTGACCATATCAGAGAGATCCTGAACATCAACCAGAAGAGGAATGACTATCTGGGTGAGCCCCTGCCACTGCCACCACATTTGTTCTGCTCCTGCAGAGGTCATGAGATCTTCAGCCAGGGATCCCAGCATCTTAGCTATGGTCCAGAGCCACATGGTTTTATTTCTGCGTTGTTCTGTACAAAGGCAACTCATGTTGAAGAGCCTGGGGTCAAACTACTGCCCATGGTCTCAACCTTACCTTCTTTTTTTTTTTTTTTTTTTTTAAGACAGTGTCTCACTGACACTCAGAGTATATTCCTGGAAAGATGTCCACCCATGCCGGCCCAGAAGCTGGTCCAGAAAGTAACGATGTCCACCATGCCACCATGAAGTGCAGTGGTGCAATCATAGCTTACTGCAGCCTCAAATTCCTGGTTTCAAGTGATCCCCTCAACTCAGCTTCCCAAAGTGGTAGGATTACAGGTATGAGCCACTATGCTCAGCCCGTCTTCACAAATTTTTTAAAATTAATTTTTAAATTTTTTTTGAGACAGAATCTTGCCGTGTTGCCCAGGCTGGAGTGCAGTGACTCGATCTCAACTCACTGCAACCTCCACGTCCTGGCTTCAAATGATTCTCCTGCCTCAGCCTCCAGAGTAGCTGGGATTACAGGTGTGTGCCACCATGCCCGGCTCATTTTTGCATTTTTAATAGAGACAGAGTTTCACCATGTTGGCAGTCTGGTGTCAAACCCCTGGCCTCAAGTGATCCGCCTGCCTTGGTCTCCCAAGGTGCTGGGATTACAGATAGGCATGAGCCACTGTGCCTGGCCAATTTTTAATTTTTTAATTATTATTTTTAATCAACAGCTTTAGACAGAGAACCTTGGTTTCATCTTCAGTGGGCTGTGGCCATGGGCAGTTTCTTCATCTGCAAAAGGGGAGTAGTACTAGGACCCAGCTCACAAGCTGACAGGGGAAGATGCTCAGACAAACACTGCCTGCCTGGCATAGAAAAATGCCCAGCATATGTTAGCCATGACCACGACCGTCGTCGTTATCATCATCATCATCATCATAGCATCTCATGTTTCAGGAAACTTTCCAGGAAGAAGGGACCTCGATTCCCTCTGGGGAATGTCCCTGGTGGTTGCTCTTTCAGCAGCACAGCTGGCTAACTAAGGCTTTGGCAGTTGCAGCCTCTAAAGGAAAAATTCCTCAGGTTCAGACTAAACACAAATTGCACTGACCTTTGATCAGAAAGTAATTTCAGAGAGAGAGATGCTCAGACAGGGAGGGCAGCTGGTTTTGAGCCCCAACCTTTCATCTTCCCCTTAGCTCCTCTCCTTTCCATTCACACTGCCCCCTCCCCCATCACCTGGCCCTCGGGGGTAAGCTGATTCCTCTTTAAAACTCTGGCCCAAGGAAGACAAAATTTAAAGCCCACTCCCTTCCTCCTTAGCATCACTGGACCAAGGTCAAATGCTACAAAAACATTTTATTGAAAATAAGCAGGAAACCAAACGAAAATAGTCAAAGAAAACGCACAAGGCACGATCGTTGTCTAGCTCCAACTGTAACTGTTTCTATCTGGGCCATTGCCAGATTGCCTCCTGGCTGAAGATCTCTTGGTCCACCTAAGCACCTTGCTTTTTACACACAACGCGGGGCTCTCTGAGAACAAAAATGGGCCACAAGGGGTGCAAAGGCTGGGAGAGGAGTAGACTCTGTGGTCTGTCTGAGGGCAGTTCTGACTGGCACCACAGTCGGAGGACAGGCGCGGCCTGTTGTGTGGGTCCAGGGCCTCCAGTGGGAAAACGTGGCTTTAGGCCCTTCTCCCAGATGCTACCTTTTACAGAGGAAGACCAGATCTGAGGTTTAGTTTCCATGTTGTGTTCTGAGTTCTTTCTATTCATTCAGTCATTTAAAAGTACTTACCAAACTACCACAAACCTGGGTGGCTTAGAACACAGAATTTCTTTTTCTTACAGTTCTGGAGGTTAGAAGTCTGAAATCAAGGTGTTGGCAGGGCCGTGCTTCCTCAGAAGGCTCTTGGGAAGAATTCTTTCCTGCCTTTTCCGGCTGCCGGCAGCTCCAACCTTGGCTTGCGGCAGCATAAACCCATTCTCTGCCTCTGTCTTCAACTCGCCTTCTTTTCTGTGTGTGCCTCTGTGTCATTACATGCTGTTCTCTTATATAGATAGGAGACCCACTACCTGTGTCTTTGTGTCCAAATTCCTTTCTTCTTTTTCTGTTCATTTGTTTGAGACAGAGTCTCGCTCTGTCACCCAGAAGCCCAGGCTGCAGTGCAGTGGCGGGATCCCGGCTCACTGTAACCTCTGCCTCCTGGGTTCAGGTGATTCTCGTGCCTCAGTCTCCCAAGAAGCTGGGATTACAGGCATGTGCCACCATGCCCGGCAAATTTTTGTATTTTTAGTAGAGACATGGTCTCGCCATGTTGGCTAGGCTGGTCTTAAACTCCTGGCCTCAAGGCGATCTGCCTGCCTTCGCCTCAAAAAAACTGCCGGGATTACAGGCATGAGTCACCACCATGCCCAGCCAGTTCACTTTTTTTTTTTTTTTTTTTTTTTGAGATGGAGTCTTGCTCTGTTGCCCAGGCTGGAGTGCAGTGGTGCAATCTCGGCTCACTGCAACATCCGCCTCCCGGTTCAAGCGATTCTCCTGCCTCAGCCTCCTGAGTAGCTGGGATTACAGGTGTGTGCCAGCATGTCTGGCTAATTTTTGTATTTTTAGTAGAGACAGGGTTTCACCATGTTGGTCAGGCTGGTCTTGAATTCCTGACCTCGTGATCTGCCCGCCTCAGCCTCCCAGAGTGCTGGGATTACAGGTGTGAGCCACCGTGCCCGGCTCACCTCTTCTTTTTTTTTTTTTGAGACGGGGTTTTGCTCTTGTTGCCCAGGCTGGAGTGCAATGGCGCGATCTTGGCTCACCACAACCACCGCCTCCTGGTGATTACAGGTGTGAGCCACCACGCCTGGCTCTGGCTTACCTCTTCTTATAAGGACCTCAGTCATTGGATTAGAGCTCACCCTAATCTAGTATGACTTAATCTTAACTTGATTACATCTGCAAAGACCCTTTTTCCAAATAAAGTCACAGATACTGGGGATTAGGACTCGAACACATCTTTCTGGGGGACACAATTCCACCATTACAGGGAATAAACAGGATAAGAAAACCATAGAACCCAGCAGGTGGTAGGTGACACAAGCTAAGGGGTGTTGCCATGTTGCCCAGGCTGGTCTCAAACTTCTGGCTTCAAGGGATCCTCCCACCTTGCCTCCCAAAGTGGGGATGAAAGTTTGTCTGGGGCATTGCAGTTTTAGACAGGAAGACCAGGGAAGGCCTCACTGAGAAGGTGACATTTGAGCCAAGACTTAAAAAGGTACGAAAGTGAGCCATGTGGAAGTCTGGGGGGGAGGAGTGAACTAGGCAGAGGCACAGCTGGGCAAAGGGCCTGAGGTGTGACCATGCCTATGGATTTGAGGAACTTCAAAGAGGCTGTGTGCTGCAGGAGAGTGAAGGGCAGGGAGTGGCAGGAAATGAAGGCAGACAGGTAGCAGTGGGGAGGACGCAGGGGTCCAGCTCATGTAGGTCTTGATTGGACACAGTGAGTTTCAGATGACAGCCTCCTGTCTCATGGGGTAGCCCCAAAGCCACAGGAGTCTGGTGATTTCCCTCTTCCCCACCAGACATCTATGCCATCGGGGTGGGCAAGCTGGATGTGGACTGGAGAGAACTGAATGAGCTAGGGTCCAAGAAGGATGGTGAGAGGCATGCCTTCATTCTGCAGGACACAAAGGCTCTGCACCAGGTCTTTGAACATATGCTGGGTGAGTGAGCTTTGCCCTCCTTGGTGTGGGGAGGATGGTGAGGAGCCCGCCAGAGGCCCGTGTTGGGAACCTGGACACAGTGCCCCTCACTTGCCTCCTTCCCCATCTGATCCTCACACCCACAGATGTCTCCAAGCTCACAGACACCATCTGCGGGGTGGGGAACATGTCAGCAAACGCCTCTGACCAGGAGAGGACACCCTGGCATGTCACTATTAAGGTACCAGGAAGGAGGGGCAGGGCTTGGATTCCAGAGGTAAAAGCGGCCATGGGCCAGACATACTGCAATCTCTGAAAATCACCTGTTCCCCTGCAGCCCAAGAGCCAAGAGACCTGCCGGGGGGCCCTCATCTCCGACCAATGGGTCCTGACAGCAGCTCATTGCTTCCGCGATGGCAACGACCACTCCCTGTGGAGGGTCAATGTGGGTAAGGCAGGGGATGCACCAGCCTCCTGATCCTGAAGCCACAGATCCTACCACCTCACCCAGCCTCTGGCCCCTGCAGGAGCCCTGGTCTAGCCTAATCTAGTGTATCATTTCCAGGAGACCCCAAATCCCAGTGGGGCAAAGAATTCCTTATTGAGAAGGCGGTGATCTCCCCAGGGTTTGATGTCTTTGCCAAAAAGAACCAGGGAATCCTGGAGTTCTATGGTGATGACATAGCTCTGCTGAAGCTGGCCCAGAAAGTAAAGATGTCCACCCATGCCAGGTGCCTGGAGTCTGGGATGGGAGGGTGCCCTGCAGGGAAGAGTGCTCTGGAGATCCCTGGAAGAGATACTGGGGACAGGCTGGTGTGACCCTTGCTCTTCTCCCCAGGCCCATCTGCCTTCCCTGCACGATGGAGGCCAATCTGGCTCTGCGGAGACCTCAAGGCAGCACCTGTAGGGACCATGGTGAGTGCTGGGACTTATGGTGCTTGAGAGCTGGGGCCGGGGTTTGGGGGTGATAACAAGGACTAGGCTGCAGTCCCCAAGCCAGGAACCTGGATTCTGGGTAAAAGGACCAGCACCAACATCCCCTTCTCTTGACTATAGAGAATGAACTGCTGAACAAACAGAGTGTTCCTGCTCATTTTGTCGCCTTGAATGGGAGCAAACTGAACATTAACCTTAAGATGGGAGTGGAGGTGAGGGTCTCAGGTTGGGGATGCTGGGATCCCCCTGTGACAGCTCCCAGAATGTCTCTCTTCCTTCTCCAGGTCTGGCTGCTTTCTCTCTCTGACGCGGGTCACCCCTCCTCCCAAGCCTCACAAACCTGCTAGGTGTCCCTGGGTCTGCTTATTCTTTTTTTGTTGTTATTGAGATGGAGTCTTGCTCTGTCTCCCAGGCTGGAGTGCAGTGGCACGACCTCAGCTCACTGCAACTTCTGCCTCCTGGGTTCAAGCGATTCTCCTACTTCAGCCTCCCGAGTAGCTGAGATTACAGGTGCCCACCACCACACCAGCTAATTTTTGTATTTTTAGTAGAGACGGGATTTCGCCATGTTGGCCAGGATGGTCTTGAACTCCTGACCTCAAGTGATCTGCCTGCCTCAACCTCCCAAAGTGCTGAGATTACAGGCGTGAGCCACTGCACCCACCCGGGTCTGCTTATTCTACCCTTCTCTCTGGTTCCACCCCTGCTGCAGTGGACAAGCTGTGCCGAGGTTGTCTCCCAAGAAAAAACCATGTTCCCCAACTTGACAGATGTCAGGGAGGTGGTGACAGACCAGTTCCTATGCAGTGGGACCCAGGAGGATGAGAGTCCCTGCAAGGGTGAGTCCCTCACCATGCCTGGATTCCCAAGGGGAAGGCCACCTGTGTCTCTGTGGCCAGCATGCATGCCAGAACACCAGTCCACTGCCCTAGATGACACTGTCTCCTGTCACCCTTTGCTGGCAGGAGAATCTGGGGGAGCAGTTTTCCTTGAGCGGAGATTCAGGTTTTTTCAGGTGAGAAGGTAGAAGCTTGCAGGACCCAGGGGTTACAGGATCTCAGCCTTGTTGGGGGGATGAGGGAGGCCTTTGAGGGATCTAGGGAGGTTGGGGCTTACAGTTGGGGCTGTGGCAGCCTCCCAGCCAGTTCTCTCCTTTTCTCCAGGTGGGTCTGGTGAGCTGGGGTCTTTACAACCCCTGCCTTGGCTCTGCTGACAAAAACTCCCGCAAAAGGGCCCCTCGTAGCAAGGTCCCGCCGCCACGAGACTTTCACATCAATCTCTTCCGCATGCAGCCCTGGCTGAGGCAGCACCTGGGGGATGTCCTGAATTTTTTACCCCTCTAGCCATGGCCACTGAGCCCTCTGCTGCCCTGCCAGAATCTGCCGCCCCTCCATCTTCTACCTCTGAATGGCCACCCTTAGACCCTGTGATCCATCCTCTCTCCTAGCTGAGTAAATCCGGGTCTCTAGGATGCCAGAGGCAGCGCACACAAGCTGGGAAATCCTCAGGGCTCCTACCAGCAGGACTGCCTCGCTGCCCCACCTCCCGCTCCTTGGCCTGTCCCCAGATTCCTTCCCTGGTTGACTTGACTCATGCTTGTTTCACTTTCACATGGAATTTCCCAGTTATGAAATTAATAAAAATCAATGGTTTCCACATCTCTCAGTGCCTCTATCTGGAGGCCAGGTAGGGCTGGCCTTGGGGGAGGGGGAGGCCAGAATGACTCCAAGAGCTACAGGAAGGCAGGTCAGAGACCCCACTGGACAAACAGTGGCTGGACTCTGCACCATAACACACAATCAACAGGGGAGTGAGCTGGATCCTTATTTCTGGTCCCTAAGTGGGTGGTTTGGGCTTACTGGGGAGGAGCTAAGGCCGGAGAGGAGGTACTGAAGGGGAGAGTCCTGGACCTTTGGCAGCAAAGGGTGGGACTTCTGCAGTTTCTGTTTCCTTGACTGGCAGCTCAGCGGGGCCCTCCCGCTTGGATGTTCCGGGAAAGTGATGTGGGTAGGACAGGCGGGGCGAGCCGCAGGTGCCAGAACACAGATTGTATAAAAGGCTGGGGGCTGGTGGGGAGCAGGGGAAGGGAATGTGACCAGGTCTAGGTCTGGAGTTTCAGCTTGGACACTGAGCCAAGCAGACAAGCAAAGCAAGCCAGGACACACCATCCTGCCCCAGGCCCAGCTTCTCTCCTGCCTTCCAACGCCATGGGGAGCAATCTCAGCCCCCAACTCTGCCTGATGCCCTTTATCTTGGGCCTCTTGTCTGGAGGTAAGCGAGGGTAACCTTCCCTTCCTGCTGTCTCCAGCATCCCTCCTTGGCCTTTTGGGGCCAGGCTTCATCAGCCTTTCTCTTCAGGTGTGACCACCACTCCATGGTCTTTGGCCCGGCCCCAGGGATCCTGCTCTCTGGAGGGGGTAGAGATCAAAGGCGGCTCCTTCCGACTTCTCCAAGAGGGCCAGGCACTGGAGTACGTGTGTCCTTCTGGCTTCTACCCGTACCCTGTGCAGACACGTACCTGCAGATCTACGGGGTCCTGGAGCACCCTGAAGACTCAAGACCAAAAGACTGTCAGGAAGGCAGAGTGCAGAGGTTTGAGGGCAATGAGTGTGGGCAGTGGCCTAAGGCAGAAACAGGGCAGGCGGCAGCAAGGTCAGGACTAGGATGAGACTAGGCAGGGTGACAAGGTGGGCTGACCGGGAGTAGGAGCAGTTTTAGGGTGGCAGGCGGAAAGGGGGCAAGAAAAAGCGGAGTTAACCCTTACTAAGCATTTACCCTGGGCTTCCAGGCAGCCCTGGAAGTCAAGAGAACACTCAGAAATGGGGAGGGAGAAGCAGTGGAAATCCATATGGGTTGAGGAGTAGGTAAGATGCTGCTTCTGCGGGACTGGGAATGCGCTGTTTCTCAGTGACATGGTCTCCGAGACCAGGAGGGATACACCTAAGGCAGCCTTTCCCTCTTGATGACTTCTACTTGTCCCCCCTTCTCAAAGCAATCCACTGTCCAAGACCACACGACTTCGAGAACGGGGAATACTGGCCCCGGTCTCCCTACTACAATGTGAGTGATGAGATCTCTTTCCACTGCTATGACGGTTACACTCTCCGGGGCTCTGCCAATCGCACCTGCCAAGTGAATGGCCGGTGGAGTGGGCAGACAGCGATCTGTGACAACGGAGGTGAGAAGCATCCCCTCCCCCTACATTGCTGTCTCCCTGACGGCGCCCAGCCCGAGGAGTGGGCACTCGGCTCCGGACACTGTAACTCTTGCTCTCTACCTTGCTCACGGGGCCTCAGGCTTCAGTGCTTACCTCGATGTCTCATACCTCTGCAGCGGGGTACTGCTCCAACCCGGGCATCCCCATTGGCACAAGGAAGGTGGGCAGCCAGTACCGCCTTGAAGACAGCGTCACCTACCACTGCAGCCGGGGGCTTACCCTGCGTGGCTCCCAGCGGCGAACGTGTCAGGAAGGTGGCTCTTGGAGCGGGACGGAGCCTTCCTGCCAAGGTGACCTTTGACCTGTACCCCCAGGTCAGATCCTGGTCTTCCATCCTACTGTCTTCTCTCCCCACCTCAACCCTGCTCTTTCCTCACTTTGTTTAAACCTCCCTGTACAACTATCTCACTTCTGAGCCTTTTATACCCTGGAAACCCATGATCCCCCGTCTCTTTGGTCACTGTATCCCTGACACTCCCAGACATTTGACCTCATTTCTGACTCTCCCAGACTCCTTCATGTACGACACCCCTCAAGAGGTGGCCGAAGCTTTCCTGTCTTCCCTGACAGAGACCATAGAAGGAGTCGATGCTGAGGATGGGCACGGCCCAGGTTTGAAGACAGAGAAGGGAGGCAGGGCAGGGAACTGGGGGAAAATGGAGAAGGGACAGAACTGTTAATGCTGGAGCCTGAGCCACTCTCCTGGCACCCAGGGGAACAACAGAAGCGGAAGATCGTCCTGGACCCTTCAGGCTCCATGAACATCTACCTGGTGCTAGATGGATCAGACAGCATTGGGGCCAGCAACTTCACAGGAGCCAAAAAGTGTCTAGTCAACTTAATTGAGAAGGTGGAATCCTCCTATCCCTGAACTCGGGGGAATGGAATCTCGCTGATCTTCCAGGACTAGCTCCCTGATCATTCCAGCCCCTCTGAACAACAGGGCCCCAGGAAAATCTCCAGGTCCTATTCTGTCCTCCTTCCCTTTTACTTGAAGCAGTTTCTTGACTGGTAATTCCTCCATGAACCTCAGCCCTTGAGCCTCTTACTGAGAGCCTCCCTGTCCCAGCAAAGTCGCTGAAATCTCCCAATCACAGTATTCTATTTTCAATGCCATGGCGCCTTGTTCTCCTCACCCACAGGTGGCAAGTTATGGTGTGAAGCCAAGATATGGTCTAGTGACATATGCCACATACCCCAAAATTTGGGTCAAAGTGTCTGAAGCAGACAGCAGTAATGCAGACTGGGTCACGAAGCAGCTCAATGAAATCAATTATGAAGGTCAGAGGTTAGGGAATGGTGGGAGGTTCACTTTGGGGTCAGGAGGTTCAGGGTGGAGGGGGTCATGAGACTACCTTGAGGGCGACAGGGAGGACCACTTTGTAGTCAAAGGTTGAACAGCAGGATCGTTGGGCAATGGAGGTTAGTGGGAACCTGTTGGGGGCTGGAAGGGCCACTTTGTGGTCAAAGGGAAGTCCGTGTAATGATGATTAACTTAAAAAGTTGAAAGATGTGGGATTTCAGTTGCAGATTGGTCTCTGGGGTTAAAAGATGGCTTGGAAGACCAGGTGAGGTGATGGTCTCTTCCCTCTCCACAGACCACAAGTTGAAGTCAGGGACTAACACCAAGAAGGCCCTCCAGGCAGTGTACAGCATGATGAGCTGGCCAGATGACGTCCCTCCTGAAGGCTGGAACCGCACCCGCCATGTCATCATCCTCATGACTGATGGTCAGAAGGGACCTCTCTCCTGTCCCAGCCTCCCCACCTTCTCAGACCAGCATGTGGCCCTTAAGTCCACTTGTAACACTATACCCATGGTTGGGGCCCTGAATGTGACTCATAGCTGGCTGTTCATCTCTCCTGTGACCCTTCATAAGGAATTCTTCCTAAGCCCTGTGATCAACTATCTCTAACCCTTCCTCAACTTGCTCACCCTGCCATGTGTATCCCTGCCTTTAGCCAGTTTATCTTCCTTATCTCCTACCCTCATGGTCCTGTCTCTTCTGCAGGATTGCACAACATGGGCGGGGACCCAATTACTGTCATTGATGAGATCCGGGACTTGCTATACATTGGCAAGGATCGCAAAAACCCAAGGGAGGATTATCTGGGTGAGTAACCTGCCTAGGACCCAGCACCCCACTTCCTCAGGGCTTGGACCCTCATCCTTCCTTTTTATCCCTCAGATGTCTATGTGTTTGGGGTCGGGCCTTTGGTGAACCAAGTGAACATCAATGCTTTGGCTTCCAAGAAAGACAATGAGCAACATGTGTTCAAAGTCAAGGATATGGAAAACCTGGAAGATGTTTTCTACCAAATGATCGGTAGGGAGATACAAGGGAATAAAGAACACAACTCTCCTCAGGTTCCCCTGAAGTAATTCATTCTTCCTCTACACCTGAAGCTCTAGTTGCCTGGAAAGCCTTCTTCATTCCTCCTTCTCTACCTCAGTGTCACTATTCTTGTTTCCTGGCACTGTTCACTTAACCTTAGAATCACAGAGCTCTGAGCACTTCAGAGATCTTTCTACAGTCCTACATTTGACACGTGGAAACAGAAGCCAAAGGAGGTCAAGGGACAGCAAGTTAGCAACAAGGGTGGGCTTGAAAACAGCCAGGCCTCTGACAGCTTGATCCCAAGTTCTTTCCCTTTTCAGTCCACCATAGCAGTTTTCTCCTAACACGAGGAAACAAATACCCGTGGTCTTTCCCTTTCTCCTTTTGGGCCTTTGCTCCCCATAGACTCCTACCCAAAAGGCTGCTGCCATTTGGGAATGAAGTGTTCCGAGTTTTCAGCACATTCTCCTTCTCTGCCAGATGAAAGCCAGTCTCTGAGTCTCTGTGGCATGGTTTGGGAACACAGGAAGGGTACCGATTACCACAAGCAACCATGGCAGGCCAAGATCTCAGTCATTGTAAGCACAGAATCCCAGTAGTGGGGACTTGGGGGAGGTGAGGTCAAGGTGAAATGGGAGTAGGGGAAGGAAAAAATGGCCATAAGAGATGGTGGTTTGTGAAAGTTGAGCTTTCCCTCTCTACTGTTGTGTCCCCAGCGCCCTTCAAAGGGACACGAGAGCTGTATGGGGGCTGTGGTGTCTGAGTACTTTGTGCTGACAGCAGCACATTGTTTCACTGTGGATGACAAGGAACACTCAATCAAGGTCAGCGTAGGTAAGGATGCAACTGAAGGTCCTGGGCTGCACCTATGCTCTCCAGGCAACACCTCCCACTTTCTACAGATCCTACACTCCACCCATCCTCAATGCAGCCCCATTCCTTGCACCCCAGACCAGTCAGGGATGGGGGAAGACGTGAAGTTAGGAATGACACGGGGCCAGAGGCAGGAAGCTGCCCACAAAGAGGTGGTACCTACTCTCCTACTTCAGGAGGGGAGAAGCGGGACCTGGAGATAGAAGTAGTCCTATTTCACCCCAACTACAACATTAATGGGAAAAAAGAAGCAGGAATTCCTGAATTTTATGACTATGACGTTGCCCTGATCAAGCTCAAGAATAAGCTGAAATATGGCCAGACTATCAGGTGAGAGCGTCCAGATCCCTGAGGAAAGGCTGGGAAAGGCTGGAGGACTGGGGTGAGGAGCAGGCCTGGTTTGCTGTTCTCCTTGTCCTTTATAGGCCCATTTGTCTCCCCTGCACCGAGGGAACAACTCGAGCTTTGAGGCTTCCTCCAACTACCACTTGCCAGCAACAAAGTAAGACATACTTGGCAAGAGGATAAGGATGAGATCCCAAGAGACAAGTGGGGCATGAGAGGGAGGTGCAATAGGAAGAGATGATGCCTGGCCCAGAACCTAGCTCTAGAAGGGCTTAGGGGACATCTACTGAGTGACAAAGGCAATGGGGAGATGACAGTGGTGGGAGCAGCTGAAGTGACGCAGTCTATTCGTCCAGAGGAAGAGCTGCTCCCTGCACAGGATATCAAAGCTCTGTTTGTGTCTGAGGAGGAGAAAAAGCTGACTCGGAAGGAGGTCTACATCAAGAATGGGGATAAGGTGAGAAACGGGCATCCTAAGGAGGCACTCTAGGCCCCAATCCTTCCTAAGCCACTTCTGTTCATTACTTCTCCATGCTTCCCACCTCCCCTACAGAAAGGCAGCTGTGAGAGAGATGCTCAATATGCCCCAGGCTATGACAAAGTCAAGGACATCTCAGAGGTGGTCACCCCTCGGTTCCTTTGTACTGGAGGAGTGAGTCCCTATGCTGACCCCAATACTTGCAGAGGTGAGAGAATGCTCTTTGGTTGTGCTACAAGTGCCCAAGGCCCAACAGTCCTTTTCTCTACAGCTTCTCCTCTCCTTGCAGGTGATTCTGGCGGCCCCTTGATAGTTCACAAGAGAAGTCGTTTCATTCAAGTGAGTCCTCCCTTTCCTATCTGGGGAGATGCCAAGTGGTCAGCATGGGCCCCAAAGCAGGAAAGCTCAATGCATGTGGCTAGTAATTCGAGGTAGGCAGAGCCTGCCTCACCTTAGGACCGCATGTCTTGCCTGCGTGTGTCAAGAACGAGGCTGAGCTGGGTCCCTAGTCTGATTCCTTTAGGTCAGCTAAGACGCAAGCAGGAACAGCCATGCTTCCAGGATTAGGAATTCTACTGAATGATCCATGGCACCCCACTGCCTCTGCAGGTTGGTGTAATCAGCTGGGGAGTAGTGGATGTCTGCAAAAACCAGAAGCGGCAAAAGCAGGTACCTGCTCACGCCCGAGACTTTCACATCAACCTCTTTCAAGTGCTGCCCTGGCTGAAGGAGAAACTCCAAGATGAGGATTTGGGTTTTCTATAAGGGGTTTCCTGCTGGACAGGGGCGTGGGATTGAATTAAAACAGCTGCGACAACACCTGTGTTCCAGATCCTTTTGGGGCAAGGGAGTGGGGAACAGGCACTGGCCATGTTGTTACACTGAGATCAAACCTGACAGCCGTTTTTAAAGGTTTAACCCCAATCCCAAGTGCTGAAAAACCAGAGGCTGAGGGAGATGTGTAAGCTTCCACCTCAGTGTTTTACTGAGACCAGCATTGGGGCATATGAGGCACAAGGAATCCAGCTCTGTTCCCTAGAAGCCATCCACAAGGTTTTCCTTGTAGACGTCATCACTGTAGACAATCTGGGTCCTCTTGTCCCGGTGGCAACCCTTAGGGCTGTTCTGGACAGCTAGGGAGGGAGGAGAGGAACAGTTAAGGTCTAAAGGAGATCATAGAACAGACCCTGAGGCTGACTCCTGACCACCTCACTCCTGGCCACTGGCCCCTGGAAGCCCAGTTTCCACGCTGCCCTCTGGTGGCCAGGATGGCCTGTCTTCCTTAGCTCCTTTGTGCCAACCCATGGCCAAGAAAAGTATAAGTGGACATTTTGATGAATGTTTTGTTCTTAGAAAAATCCCAAATGTCATTGTTGAGACACGTGAATGATATTAACCCACTACTTACAGTCAGTATGTCAGAAGCTAAAAACTAGAAAACCTCTGTAGCCCTTTTTTGACATGCTGGTCAATTCTAGTTCCTTTCTTTTGCCTGAAGGGCCACTGTAGCTGAGCCCTTCTTTCTGCTCACTCCTTTCCCAGGAAAATCTACTTTCAGGGAAAATGGATTATTCACACTAAGAAATGCTACTAGCTCCACCAGAACTCATTCAGGGTGTAGCTTTGGCCCTCACCATTCTCTCTCAAGCCTCTAGCTGTTTCTTCCCCTTCCTCTTTCCTCCCTCCACCAGACATGTTACTCTCTTCACCCCATCCAATGGTTCCATCCCCACCACCCTTGAGCTACAGAGAATCTCTCTCACCCACTCCCATCCTGTGATCTCTGTGCCTCAACACTGCTGGCTACTCCCTCTTTCTCAAAGTGTGTGTCCTTTTGCTTCAGTGGCCCAGGCCCCTGCGGTGCTGCTCCCAGCCCTCCGACCCCTCCTCCTGTCTCCTTTGCTAACGTTAGGCTCAACGTTAGCCTAACATGTCAGGACAGCTGGGGACATGTGGGGTGTGAGGTGAACAGTCCTGTTTCCTAACATAGTCCCAGAGTACTCCTCAAACTGAGTCCTGGGTCGTTTTTTTTTCTCTGAAATCAGAGTCTCCCTGATGATCCTATTGTTTGGCAGCCACCCTGTGATGTGGATGACTTAATCTATGTTTTCCTTCCTTACCTCACACCTGAGTTCCAGATCCCTGATTTCGAATACTTATGAAACTCACTCTACTCCATCTCAAAATGAACAAGCCCCATGAGACACTCATCTTCCTCACCAATCTCACTCCAGCTCCCACTTTCTTCCCTGTTCCAGTCACTGCTTTGGAAGCTGTTTTCAATCCTTTTCTCTCCTTTCTTTACCTCTAACTGACAGAGGATCTGAAATTTTCCTTCCCATTCCCATAGCCTCCGCACACACTCTGACCTCGATCATCTCTAGGAAACCCAAGGATGTGTGGGGGAACCAAAAGGAATGGCCTGTGGGGGAAAGGATGGGAAAGGAAGAATCCCATTCTTACCGAGGGAGCCCCAGACAGACTTGCCAGTAGCGGCATCCAGCATGGGCTGTTTTCGGGCTATGTTGACTTTGAGCTGTACAGACTCCACCTGGGTCCCGTTGAGCTGAAGCAGAAGAGGGGAGGCAGAGGATGGGGAGGAAAACATTACAGATAAACCAAAGAAGTTATTCCAGGAGTTGCTATCCTAGGAGGAGACTGAATAAGGAATCTGAGAATGTGAGTTTTTCTGTGTGAATAGGGAGAGGCTTTCTTTATCAAGAGGAACCAACTTCTTCCTGGCATCTAGTATTTTGAGGAGAACACATGAGAACAGCAGAAGCGATGGGAAGAACAGATTTGGGAAGTTCCAACCTCAGCAACGGCCTGATCTGCTGACTCCATCTTTTCATAGGTGACGAAGGCACAGCTGGGATAAGAGAAAACACGGTCAGTGGAGAGCCAAGGGGCTCTTCTGGACCCAACCAAACCCAGTGATAATAGGCGGCTGCAGGGAGGGCAGCTTCTTCCCTCAGGTCTCACACCCCAGGATTCTCCCAGGACTTCTCATCATGCCCTGTTGTCATCCTTACTTTCTGGGTGGGTCCATGGAGAGGTCAATGATGTTTCCAAAAGGAGAGAAGGCCCCACGGAGAAGGGTGGGTGTCATGTCTTCTCCATATACATAGAGAGTATTCCCTTTCCTAGGGGCTCGCCGTTCAGGGAATGAATCCGACCCTTTGGGAGCACAAATCATAGTCACAAGACATAGCCCATGCCACATTTCACTTAGTAGGACCCACATAAACCTCAGTTAAGGTCACCTTGACCTCCAGCCAAAATCACTCACTGCGGAAAGGACCCTCTCGGTCTCGGTCTCGATCCCGCTCCCGATCCCTGTCCCGTTCCCGGTCTCGATCTCGATCCCGATCCCGATCCCTGTCCCGCTCTCTGTCTCTGTCTCGATCCCGGTCTCGATCCCGCTCCCGATCTCGGTCTCTGTCCCGGTTCCTCTCATGGCTGCGGTCCCGGCTGCGGCTTCGGGGAGGGGAGGCTGAGGAGTGGGCACCACTGCGTTCTTCATAGCCCCAGTCAAAGCTTCGAGGGGGACCATCACCAGCCCCTGGGCCCTCTGCCTCTTCTCCATCTGGTCCTAGTTCTCGAAGTCGATCACTAGAAGACACAAAGCTGGGGAGATGCAGACTGAAGATCAAAGGGGGGTTTTACCTTCTCCCCTCAGACCCTGTGGAGACTCAATATTCCCTCTATAGCCCAGCTCCTACAGCCCAAACCTCCCAAGGACTCAGGCAATCAACTCCACCAAATGGGCCCAGCCTTATCTCTACTCTCTAACCTCTCATACAGAGATTTCCTCTGGGGACGTCTGGATGACTGTAAAAGAGACCAAGAACAGTTAAGATGATTTCCAGTTGCTGACATGTGGTCCAAAATATATTTGTCTCTCATATTCCTCCATCCCCAACCCCTCAGGGACAGAAATTAGGAGCCTTTACCTCTTGCAGGTCATCATCAGCAGATATGCTCCTCTGGAACGGCTGGAAAGTGGGGACTGGTCCCTTCTCGGGGTCCTGGAGTGGTGAGAGACCTACCTCAGTGTGGAGCAGGAGGTTGCCCAACCATGGACCAGAGGTGTTCCTCTTCCCTCACCCTCTTCTAGGTTTCCTCTGATCTTTTCTTCCCTTTTAATTCTACATACATTTCTTATTTGACGTGGTTTTACTTATTTTTTTTTTTTTTTTTTGAGACACGGTCCTGCTCTGTTGTCCAGGCTGGAGTGCAATAGAGCAATCGTAGCCTGCTGCAGCCTTGACCTCCCATGCTCAAGCAATCCTCCTACCTCAGCCTCCCTAGTAGCTGGGACTAGAGATGTGCTCTACCATGCTTGGCTAATTTCTGTATTTTTTTTTTTTTTTGTAGAGATAGGGTTTCACTATGTTGCCAGGGCTGGTCTCAAACTCCTGGGCTCAAGCAATCCTCCTACCTCGGCCTCCTAAAGTGCTGAAATTAACCAGGAATGAGCCATTGCCGCACCTGCCATTGTGGCTTGTTTTGTTTTGTTTTTGAGACAGAATCTTGCTCTGTCGTCCAGGCTGGAGTGCAGTGGTGTGATCTCCACTCACTGCAACCTCTGCCTCCTGGGTTCAAGTGATTCTCTGGCCTCAGCCTCCTCAGTAACTGGGACTATAAGTGTGCACCACCACATTCTGCTAATTTTTTTTTTTTTTGAGACGGAGTCTCGCTGTCACCCAGGCTGGAGTGCAGTGGCACAATCTCGACTCACTGCAAGCTCCGCCTCCTGGGTTCAAGCAATTCTCCTGCCTCAGCCTCCCAAGTAGCTGGGACTACAGGCGCCCGCCACCACGCCCGGCTAATTTTTGTATTTTTAGTAGAGATGGGGTTTCACCTTGTTAGCCAGGATGGTCTCGATCTCCTGACCTCGTGATCCGCCTGCCTCGGCCTCCCAAAGTGCTGGGATTACAGGTGTGAGCCACCGCGCCCGGCCTCACACCCTGCTGATTTTTGTATTTTTAGTAGAGACGGGGTTTTACCATGTTGGCCAGGTTGGTCTTAAACTCCTAATCTCAAGTGATCTGCCCACCTCAGCCTCCCAAAGTGCTGGGATTACAGGCATGAGCCACCACGCCCAGCTGGTATTTTTTATAAGTGACTCGATATATTATGTATTCAGTTTATTTGAACCTCTCTTGAACCTGATAACATTTTCAGCCCTTTCCATCCCTTAGGGCAACATATTCCAAGAGCTCCAATCCAAGGTGGATTAGAACCACAGAATTTGTAAAATGGAGAATTCAGGAGTCGTCTAGTTTTTTCATTTTATACATGAGAGGTGAAACTCAGAATGGTACAGCAATTTGCCAGTGCTTGAGTATGCATATTTTTCCCCAAACCCATCTACATTCCAACTTGGAGGGATGCCCTTTAAACAATCTTTCTGCTTGTGCTCACCTTTAACTTCCCCTCAAGGGTTCGAGAACGCTTGAAGCCTGAGTTCTTGGTCTCAGCCTTGATGGCACTGATGGCTCCTGACTTCACCAGCTGCTTTGCCTGCTCTGTTGCTGTGGCTGTGTCCATGACAGGCTGCTCTGATAGTGCTGGAGAGACAAGGGGAAGAGGCATTATGTTGGCCAAGCCATGATGAAGGTCAGCTCCATGCTGCCCACTTCCAGTCCATCCCCATTTCCCCTGTCACTCACAGCGTTTGACACCACCTTGGCTGGTTGTGCTGCTGCTACTTTGCTTCTTCAGAGCCAGCAATGCCTTTTTCTGGGAACAAGGGTGAGAAGAGAGAGGTAAGTGAGGGCCAGCCCCTAGCCGGTTCCTCTCCTAAGGCCCCTGGGCACATCACTCCAGGGACCGTCTTTCTTGATGCCCTCAGAGTGGTACACTGATGTGCTCTGCCTCTTGCCTCTGGTCCCCTAGATCATGTATGATGCTGGAAATTCCTAATCTAACCAAACCACGGAACCCAGAGGTTTTCCAGAGTGTTACATTTTTGAAGTTGAAGACAAATAACTCAATCATGGACTAGAATCCTAGGATATAAGCTGCAAGTAAGTATAAGTTTATGTGCCTTTCCTGGAAGCTTCATCCATCTATTTCCTGCATATTGAATGAGGCCCAGCCATGACTTCGTAACAGGGATATCCAGGAGGCTAATGCATTGTTCCTACCCTCAAGAAGCTTACAGTCTGAGAAATAAAATACATTGAGTTAGCAATACAATTATAAGAGGTGCAGATTATTCATAGCTGAAAGCTAGTAAGATTTTCTGATGTTTAATGGCTATTAAACTAGGCCCTCTCCCGTATCTCTGCACAACACAGAGAGGAGAAGGGTATTTTAGAAAAAGAAAACAGGGTGGCAAAGATGCAGAGATAAGAAGGCTTTGGGAATGCATCTTTTGGAAGTAGTGAATAGTTCTACTTTACTAGACAAGGCTGCCAAACTAAGGTTTTGAGGCTTTTTTATAGACAATGTGAAGCCATTTATGGTTTTTGAGAAACAGAGGGAGCAGAATTTTGTGTTTTCAATGGATCATTTGAACAGGAGTGAAGAAGTCTGTTCAAAAAAAAAGACTGAGAAATTTGTTGAGAGACCATTACAATGGCCCACATGAATGTCAATAAAGCCCTGCTCGGGGGAATGCACAGTGAAGAATAAACAGGAAAAATTACTTCAAAAGAAGAAACAATAAGACTTGGCAAAGGTTTGACTATGCAAATAGTGGGGAAGTCAGAGTTTTGAGTCCAAACATGTGGCAGAATTGGTGTAGTCAATCTTATTTGGAAGATCAAGAATAGAAAGATGATAGCTTCAACACTGAGTATCTGAAGTTTTTCAGTATAACACTGGATAGAACTGGAAAAAACAAACTTGGGGATCATCAGCTCTTAAGCGGTACTAAAAGCCATGGGAAAGGAAGACAATCCATGGCAAATTGCATAGAAAAGACAGAAGGTCCACACCAAGGCTTGGGAAAGCCCACCTCTCGAAGCTACACTGTGAGGTGATATGTCTCTAGGTATGGGCCAGAAAAACTTCCCCATTCGCTCACACTCACCCCATATCTTCTCAGAGTGCAGAGTCTGTGAAAGGTTAGGCCATGTCCACACACAGTCCCTCACCTTTTTCTTGAGCTTGTTGAATTTCTTCTGCAGAGCCTCCTCTTCCTCGCTCAGTCCGGGGGGTATCACCAACATGGTGGCTCCTAGTTCAGGGGCAGGGCCCAAGACATCTTTCTCCACTGTTACCACCCGGGGTTCACACGCCGTCCACACTGTACCCAACCCCACCCCTTCAGGTCTGCCTACTCTTGTCTTTGGCTTTCCCTACCCCTTGCTTAAACCAGGCTGCTGTCCAAGCTCCCGCTGGTCGGGATCATCCAGCATTCCCTCCTGTCTCCAGGGATCACAGACACCAGCACCTTTAGGTACCATGTGGTTCAAGGAGGGACAAATATCCACTCCGTCGGAAAGACGATGGCACCCGACCCCCCTACCCTCGCTAGGGTAAGGACAACCGCGGGGTTTGAACGGCAGAGAAGGCGGTGGAGCCAGCGTAGCGCCCGCAGAGCAACGCAAAGAGGAAGAACAGAGAAACGGCTATGAGAAAAAGGGCCGAAGAGTGAGAAGCAGAGGGCCTTACCCGAGGGGGCGGCAACCGGGGGCCCCACGGTCTCCGGCCGCGCCCGCGCTGGCCGCTGATAGCGGGCTCACAACGATGACGTAGCGAGGAGCGGAAAACGCGGTAACCAAGGCGGCCCCAGGCGCGCACTTCCGCCCGGCCTTCCACCGGTCCAGGTCTGCCCCTCCGCAGCGATAGTTCACGCTCTCGGCGGGGCTGTACCGGAAGTTGCCTCTACTTCCGCCCGTTCCGGGGCGGGGCTTACTTCGCAGCGACTACTTGCCGCACTTCCGGGCTGCCAGGCAGCTGCTGTGGCTCCAGGATGATGGAGACAGAGCGACTTGGTGAGGGGGAGGGGAGGGAAATGGAACGGAGTAGCCGATATGGAATGAACTTTGACCCCTGACTTTTGACCTTTCCCCGTAGTGCTACCCCCTCCAGATCCCCTGGACCTACCCCTTCGGGCCGTGGAGCTCGGATGCACGGGGCACTGGGAGCTGCTGAACTTGCCTGGAGCTCCAGAGAGTAGCGTGAGTGACTTTTGACCCTAACCTTTGACCCGCATTGAGTCCAAACCTCCTTCACCCTCCTCACAGTAGGATCTAGCTTAACCTTGTTCATCTGTGCCTGTACTCCTGTCCATCCCAGCCTGAAGGGGTGCTGGACAGATTACAGCCCAGTGTACCTGCAGTACGTGTGAGGACAGAGCAGAAAGGGCTGGGGATATTTTTGCTTTGAGAGCTGCTCTTTCAAATGTGGCATTTCTCCGTGGAGCTCCCTTCTGTATCCAAGCACCAGGGCACTTGGTGACTGAGATGATAGGCTTTGAGCCTCCAACCTTTCATCCTTAGGTCTGGGACCCCTTTTTCTAAAATCAGTGAGTCTCCAATTTCAGTGTGCTTCATGATTAGCCAGGGAGCTTTTTAAAAATGCACATTCCTAGGTCCAGCCTCCATGTTTCTGAAATCCAAAATCTGCCCCAGGTAATTCAGTAGCAGGTAGTTTTTGGCCAAGCCTGATTGTCCTAGTCTGTTTGACACATCTGCCATTTCTGATCTGAACACAAGTCCCATCATCTCTTTTGTCTGCATTTTATCCTCTTTCCTTACCTAATGCCTCTCATCTTGCCCTTGTTTCAGCTTCCCCATGGCCTCCCTCCTTGTGCCCCAGATCTGCAGCAAGAAGCAGAACAGTTGTTTCTGTCATCCCCAGCCTGGCTGCCTCTGCATGGTGTGGAGCACTCAGCCCGGTGAGGAGTCTGGAGGGGCTTAGACTAGGGTGATGGGTTCCTGAAGGAAGCTGGGACAGAGGAAGAAAGAAGACCCAAAAGTTACTATTTTTCTCTCCAGAAAATGGCAGAGGAAGACGGATCCCTGGTCTCTTTTGGCTGTCCTGGGAGCCCCAGTCCCATCCGACCTACAGGCCCAAAGACACCCAACCACAGGCCAGATACTGGGTTACAAAGAGGTAGGAGGTCAGGGGTCATGAGAAACAGTTGGGGAGAAGGGGAGGTGGTCAGAGACAAGCTCAGCCTCATTGGGGCTCTGATCTCTTGCCTTAGGTCTTGCTGGAGAACACAAATCTCTCGGCTACAACCTCCTTGTCTCTTCGCCGGCCTCCAGGGCCAGCCTCCCAGTCCTTATGGGGAAATCCAACTCAGTATCCCTTCTGGCCAGGTGACTCTTGTGGAGATGGGATGGTAGAAGAGGGTGTCTTTAATCTCCAGGGAAGGGTTCCCCACCTATCTCGTATTACCCTCATCCCATGAATCCCTGTCTGTCCTGTCTCTTCCCAGGGGGGATGGATGAACCCACCATAACAGATCTGAACACACGGGAGGAGGCTGAGGAGGAGATAGACTTTGAGAAAGGTAAGGTGGGGCTCTGAGTCTGAGCCTTGAGGAGGAAGAGCCCAGGCTATCACTGGGCTACTGCTAGCCCTCCCATGTTTTTGAGAAAATTAGAAAAAGATATTCTGTCCATAACAACCTTTACTGTCATCTGCTGGGAAATTTCTACAACAACCTTTACTGTCATCTGTTGGAAAAGTGTCATAGCAAACATCCCTATCTACAGCATCTGTCCTGTAAATGGTATCTTTTAGGTTTATATAATGTACACAATTTGTTCACCAGTGTGCAGTGACCTGATTCCATGTCCCTATCCTACAGATCTTCTTACTATTCCACCTGGTTTCAAGAAAGGCATGGACTTTGCACCAAAAGGTTAGTTTTAGTTTTTGAGTGGGGTGTAGGAGAAGTCATGTCCTTCTCCTAAGGAACAGAGATGGACATGACAAGGTTGACCTTGTTGGCTTGCTCCTCAGATTGTCCAACTCCAGCTCCTGGACTACTAAGCCTTAGCTGTCTGTTGGAGCCTCTGGATTTGGGTGGGGGTGACGAGGATGAGAATGAGGCAGTGGGACAGCCAGGAGGTCCCAGAGGGGACACTGTTTCAGCCTCTCCCTGCAGTGCTCCCCTGGCCCGAGCAAGCAGCTTGGAAGACCTAGTGTTGAAGGTTGGTGGTTCTGTGTAGTGGAGGCAAGAAAGAGCCTTGCCACCAGGATGTGGGCTGGCTAGGATGGGTCTGAGGGGAAGAAAGGGACATCTTTTGGGAGGAGTGCTAATTGAGAGCCCTCTGGTTGTATCTTTATCACTGCTACCCCTGACTCTTCCAGGAAGCGTCCACAGCTGTATCCACCCCAGAGGCCCCAGAGCCTCCATCTCAGGAGCAGTGGGCCATCCCTGTGGACGCCACCTCCCCTGTTGGTGATTTCTATCGCCTCATTCCCCAGCCAGCCTTCCAGGTACTTTGGCCCCATCTTCACACGCTCCTCTACCTCTTTCTGGGTCACACTCCCAGCCGACCCCTTGTCTCCTCTATTGGCCAGAGGTCAGATCCATCCCAGGCCAGTCTTGGTACTCAGTCCCAGCCTCGGCTGGCTCCGGCCTTCATCCGCCCGCCCTGCGTGCTCCATGAGCAGGAGGCAGCAAGGCCCCGCTCCTTTCTTCAGCTCCTGTCTATTTCTCTCTCCCATAGTGGGCATTTGAGCCAGATGTGTTTCAGAAACAGGCCATCCTGCACTTGGAACGGCATGACTCTGTCTTTGTCGCAGCTCACACATCTGCAGGAAAAACAGTTGTGGCTGAATATGCCATTGCCCTGGCCCAGAAACACATGACACGGTATGAGTTCCTTTGCCAACCTCCCCCTTCACCAGCCAGCCCCATTTTCTCCTGCATCCTTTGAAAATCTCATCTCTTCCCCCACCTCTCTAGCTCATCCTTTAAGTGAGAGGTTCAGGGCTAAGACTGAGACAAGAGCCCAGAGAGAAATGAAAAGACATGGTGGGGAGAAAGTTTAGAAGAATGACCTGGGTTAGTTTAGGAAGGGGTTGGGGACAGAATTTTTCTGGGGTTATATCATGCAGGAGAATGTAAGGGCAGTTTGGGTGAAGAAGAGGAGCACCTGAGCTTCTGGGGCATGCTTCCACGAGGGCTCCATGTGGGAGAGGAAGTGCGGGCCATGAGTCTGCGGAGGGACTGGCTAACTTCATGCTCTCTTCCCAGCACCATCTACACTTCGCCCATCAAGGCCCTGAGCAACCAGAAGTTCCGGGACTTCCGAAACACATTCGGGGATGTGGGGCTGCTCACCGGGGATGTACAGCTGCATCCGGAGGCCTCCTGCCTCATCATGACCACAGAGATCCTTCGGTGAGAGATGGACACTCAATACAGGGGAGTTTTGGCTGGGAAGATGTGGCCGTTGTGGAGAGTGTGCTGTCTGAGGAGTGGGTGGAGACGAGCCACTGGGGAGTCAATCCTTGGCCTCTTCTCCCCAGCTCCATGCTGTACAGTGGCTCAGATGTTATTCGGGACCTGGAGTGGGTCATCTTTGATGAGGTTCACTATATCAACGATGTCGAGGTAAGGGCCATGGGCTCCCCAGAACCCGGCAGTCCTCTCCTTTGGGACCAGTTGAGCGTCTCCCTTATTCCACACACTCAGGGCCCCTTACTGCTTTCTTTACCCCCATATGGAATCCTGTGCCTCTTTATGGGCAGAAGGGCGGCCCCTGCCCTCATGTGACCTCCCTTCCCTCTCTGTGCCCAGCGTGGGGTCGTGTGGGAGGAGGTGCTTATCATGCTACCTGACCACGTTTCTATCATCCTTCTGAGTGCCACCGTCCCCAACGCCCTTGAGTTTGCTGACTGGATTGGGTGAGACGTGTGTCCCGGGTTGCCTGGGTGAAGGGGGCTACAGTACTCCTTGATTCGGGTGGGGGACTAAGTCTACCACAGCAAGGAGAGCGGTCAGGCCTTAGGGGTGATGCTGGGGAACATGTCCCACCTGGTGGCTGTGGGATCCCCTTTGGGTCCAGATTACTTTGCATGTTGAAATGGGATGAGATGTTGGGGGATAGCCTTCCATTCTGGGTCTCAGAAAAGACTGGGTAAAGTTGGAGGGGTAGGGAAGGGGGTGGGGATGTGGGTTCCTTCCCACGTTCCCACCCCTGACCTGCTTCCCTCTCCTTTCTTCAGGCGGCTGAAGCGTCGTCAGATCTATGTGATTAGCACTGTAACCCGCCCCGTGCCCCTGGAGCACTATCTTTTCACAGGGAACAGCTCCAAGACCCAGGGGGAGCTCTTTTTGTTGCTGGACTCCCGAGGAGCCTTCCATACAAAAGGGTAAGCCTCGAGATGGGGGAAAGAGTTAGGGCTGGGCCCCCAGCTGGACATTGTGGCTACCCCTCCCTGTGCCCCAGGTACTATGCAGCTGTGGAGGCCAAGAAGGAGAGAATGAGCAAACACGCCCAGACCTTTGGGGCCAAGCAGCCCACACATCAGGGGGGCCCTGCACAGGTGAGAACTGGGAGGGTTTTGTACCTGCCAGCACCTGTTTTTCCTCCTATCTTTTTTTTCCCCTTGTCCCCCAGGGGTTTTGACTTGAGCTTTGAGCACTGCCCCAGTTAACACTAGCTCACCTCTCATTGGTTCAGGAACTCAACCTCTGCTCCTTCCCCTTCCCCTTCCTTCTCCAGGACCGCGGAGTGTACCTGTCCCTCCTGGCCTCCCTCCGCACACGTGCCCAGTTGCCCGTGGTGGTGTTCACCTTCTCCCGGGGCCGCTGTGATGAGCAGGCCTCAGGCCTCACCTCCCTTGACCTCACCACCAGTTCGGAGAAGAGCGAGATCCACCTCTTCCTGCAGCGCTGCCTTGCTCGCCTCCGTGGCTCTGACCGCCAGCTGCCCCAGGTGCGTCTGTGTGCGTCTGTGTGCGTGCATGCACACATTTGGCAGACTGGTGGGGATAGGGTGTTCCGAGACTCCATCCCTGACCATGGGCCTCCTCCCACCAAAGGTCCTGCACATGTCAGAGCTCCTGAATCGCGGCCTGGGTGTGCACCATAGCGGCATCCTGCCCATCCTCAAGGAGATCGTGGAGATGCTCTTCAGCCGTGGCCTGGTCAAGGTGCATGTGGTGGTGGAAAGGGACTCCTCAGGGTGCTTGTTGCCCACTTAGGGGCTGCCCAGAGGGCAGAGGGGCAGAGGTTTAGGCAGGCCAGTGCTGTGGTTAAGAATCTGGGCTCTGGATTCAGACTACCTGGGTTTGAATCCCAGGTACACCATGTATTCACAGTATCATCCTGGACCAATTATTTAACCTTCCTGAACTTTAGGTTTCCCATCTTAAAATGGGGATGCATAAGATATGAATACGTAGGTCTCAGAAAAGAAACCCAGGAAGCTAGCAAGCATTCGAAAAGTTATTAGTAATCAGAAATATACAAATTGAAGTACTCACAAGATACGACTTTACAGCTATTAGACTGGTAAAATTTAGGAAACTAGTTCATGCCGAGTGTTGCCAGAGATATAGGAGGTTGTAGGGTTCTGGGAATCCTTTACGGGATGCCTAGCCAGTTTGGAATGCACGCTGGCACTATTTAGACAAAATAACTATATTGGCCGGGCATGGTGGCTCACACCTGTAATCCCAGCACTTTGGGAGGCTGAGGTGGGTGGATCACAAGGTCAAGAGATCGAGACCATCCTGGCCAACATGGTGAAACCCTGTCTCTACTAAAAATACAAAAATTAGCTGGGCATGGTGGCAGGTGCCTGTAGTCCCAGCTACTTGGGAGGCTGAGGCAGGAGAATTGCTTGAACCCAGGAGGCAGAGATTGCAGTGAGCCAAGATAGCACCGCTGCACTCCAGCCTGGGCAACAGAGGGAGACTCCATCTCAAAACAAAAACAAACAAAGAAACAAACAAAAACTATATCATACTCTGAGCTTATATTTCATTCCTGGGTATATATCACAAAGAAATTCTCACCCTGGTCTGTGAGAGAACATGTACACCCATCCTTTGTTTGTGGTGGCATGGTGTTGGTAGTACCAGGGTGCCCTTCACTGGGAGAGAGGGAAGGTTAGTGTGGGGGATGCACCCATAGAGTGTTCTGCAGCAGTTGGAAGCAGTGGGTTAGATGTGGCCACAGGAACATGGACAGATGTTGAAACACTAGGTGGAGAAAAAGAAGCAAAAAAAAATCAGATATATAACCACTTTTTATATGAATTATAAACTACAAGCTCACAAAAGAAGACATGTTCTATAAGATCATATTTATATAAAAAGATATTTGTTGGATACATTGGAATGATTGCAGTCAGGGATGGGAATGGGATATGAAGGTAAAAGTTAAGAAATAGAAATAAGTAGCTACATAAGTAAAATGAGGAAAACAATAATACCTGCCCTATAGATTTGCCTGGAGAGTTCAGTGAGATCCCATAAGTAACAACTGGGATGGTGCCTTATGCCTACAAAGTAAGGTGGGCTTGGCCAGGGCTGGGGGTGTGTGTATGTAGAGCCTTTGCTGATCCTTTCTGTTCTCCTCTGTCCCAGGTCTTGTTTGCCACAGAGACCTTTGCCATGGGAGTAAACATGCCTGCTCGTACAGTAGTGTTTGACTCCATGCGCAAACACGATGGCTCCACCTTCCGGGACCTGCTCCCTGGGGAGTATGTGCAGATGGCAGGCCGGGCAGGGCGGAGGGGCCTGGACCCCACAGGCACCGTTATCCTGCTCTGCAAGGGCCGAGTGCCCGAGATGGCAGACCTGCACCGCATGATGATGGTGAGCGGGCCAGCATGCTCGGCAGGGCCCCAGCTCCAGGACCTTGCTGGATTCTGTCTTCGATTCTCCTCTCTTCTTTTTCTTCTTCCTTTTTTTTTTGGAGACAGGGTCTTGCTCTGTTACCTAGGCTGGAGTGCAGTGGCACAATCTCGGGTCACCGCAACCTCTGCCTTCCAGGCTCAAGGGATCCTCCCACCTCAGCCTCCCAAGTAGGTGGGATTCCAGGCACATGCCACACAGGCCTGGCTAATTTTTTTTTTTTTTTTATGCTTTGTAGAGATGAGGTTTTGCTATGTTGCACAGGTTGGTCTTGAACTTCTGGGCTCAAGCAGTCTGTCTGCCTCAGCTTCCCAAAGTACTGGGATTATAGGTGTGGGCCACAGCGCCCAACTTCCTCCGACTTTTTTGTTTTGCCTGGGAGAAGCTGAGGTAGGAGTGAGTGAATCCAAGGATGAGATTGGAGCCCATCTCTTCCAGTTTTCTCCCATGTGAATATGGAGCTAGATGGGGCCTTTGAGTCCATTTATTTCAGTTTGCTCCCTTATGTTACAGAAGAGGTGAGCAAGTGGTTTGTCCAAGGCCCCATGGTTGCAGAGCTAGGACCGGATCTGACGGGAGTAGGCCCAGTCCAGAAGACTGGCTGGGGTTCAGTAGGTCCCACCCTGATCTCAGTGACTTCTGTGACCTGACTCCAGGGGAAGCCGTCCCAGCTGCAGTCCCAGTTCCGCCTCACGTACACTATGATCCTCAACTTGCTGCGAGTGGATGCCCTCAGGGTGGAGGACATGATGAAGAGGAGCTTCTCTGAGTTTCCCTCCCGCAAAGACAGCAAGGTAAGGAGCCTGGGGTAACCAGTGTGTGGAGCAGGAGGTTGGCCAAAGACAGGCTGGGAATAGGTAGGCATCCAGAGGCCAGTGTGTTGAGGGTGGGGAGTGTGACAGATTGGGCCTGGAGACTCCCCTTTCACAGCTTCCCCTGCTCCCACCCAAGGCCCATGAACAGGCCCTGGCTGAACTGACCAAGAGGCTGGGAGCTTTGGAGGAGCCTGACATGACTGGCCAACTGGTCGACCTGCCTGAATATTACAGCTGGGGGGAGGAACTGACAGAGACCCAGCACATGATCCAGGTGAGCAAGTGTGAGTGCTGAGGAGGTGATAGGAGAAGGGAAGAGAAGATCGTGTTACTCTAGGTGCTACTAAACTTAGTCCAAGTGTCTGTCCCTGTGATGCCTCCTCCCATCTGTCCTTTGCTCTTCAGCGACGCATCATGGAGTCTGTGAACGGGCTGAAGTCTCTCTCAGCAGGAAGGGTGGTGGTTGTGAAGAATCAGGAGCATCACAACGCATTGGGAGTGATCCTACAGGTGAGGGTGATGGGAATTTGGACTCCAGAGGGTGGGAGGGAGCAAGCCCTCTCTCCATTTTCCCCACTTGGCCAGGGCAGGTTGCGTCATCATAGGGCCCTCATTTTCCCCTCTTGCCCTCCTTTTCACCCTCTCCCTTCCCATCACCACATCATGCTCACTCCTTCCTCCCACCACCCCAAGAAGTCTGCTCTGATCGCTTGACTTGGTTGCCCCTCTCTACTGGTGAGCTCTGCATGGTTGCTTCCTGATTCCTGCCCAAGGGTGGGTATCTGGTCTCTGCCTTTGATGTCTACTCATCACACCCCCCTCTCCTGGCCTCTCTGACCACCCCCAGGTCTCCTCGAACTCCACCAGCAGAGTATTCACAACCCTGGTCTTGTGTGATAAGCCCTTGTCCCAGGACCCACAGGACAGGGGGCCAGCCACTGCAGAGGTGCCCTATCCAGATGACCTCGTGGGATTCAAGCTGTTCCTGCCTGAAGGTGAGAGTGTGGCAGATGTCTGTTTTCTGCCAGCAGTATAAGCAGGATGCCTGGGTCCATGGCAATGTCTGCCCTGCTCTCCCCTTTTCACAGGGCCTTGTGACCACACCGTGGTCAAGCTCCAGCCAGGAGATATGGCTGCCATCACCACCAAGGTGCTCCGGGTGAATGGGGAGAAGATCTTGGAGGACTTCAGCAAGAGGCAGCAGCCAAAATTCAAGTCAGAGATGCTAGGGAGGCCCTTCTCCTCCAGAGGGGCACGTAGAGGCAGGGAGGGGCAGTGGTCTGGGAGTTTCCTCCAGCCTGAGGGAGACCATGAAGTGGTGGGGTTGTAGTGAGGGGGCTCCCCCAGCCTAAGGGAGACTGTGAAGTGGAGGTTGTAGTAAGAGGGCTTCCACAGCCTGAGGGAGGCTTCTGGGGGAGAGAAGATCTTACCCCAGATCTTAAGATCTGCTCCCTCTTCAGGAAGGATCCTCCCCTTGCAGCCGTGACCACTGCTGTCCAGGAACTGCTGCGTCTGGCTCAGGCCCACCCAGCCGGACCTCCCACCCTCGACCCTGTCAATGACCTGCAGCTCAAAGATATGTCAGTTGTAGAGGGTGGGCTCCGGGCCCGGAAGCTGGAGGAGCTGATCCAGGGGGCTCAGTGTGTACACAGCCCCCGTTTTCCTGCCCAGGTAGGACCCTGGGTGGTAACTCCCAAGCTGGGAGTAGGGGCTTTTCCTCTGTGGTCCCCTGTAGACTGACCGCCCCCATCTCAGCCCTTGTCCTCAGTGCACCCCTGCTAAGGGGCAAGGAGAAGGCTGACGGGTGGCTCTCTGCAGTACCTGAAGCTGCGGGAGCGAATGCAGATACAGAAGGAGATGGAGCGGCTGCGCTTCCTACTGTCGGATCAGTCATTGCTGCTGCTTCCTGAGTACCATCAGCGAGTAGAGGTGGGTGGGGCAGTGGTTGGGGCAGGGGGGCTAGGGGACAGCAGTGTGTCCAATGCCCACCCTTTTTCTTGCAGGTGCTCCGAACCCTGGGTTACGTGGACGAGGCGGGCACTGTGAAGCTGGCAGGGCGGGTGGCTTGTGCCATGAGCAGCCATGAGTTGCTCCTCACTGAGCTCATGTTTGACAATGCACTGAGCACCCTGCGGCCTGAGGAGATTGCTGCCTTGCTCTCTGGCCTGGTCTGCCAGAGCCCTGGGGACGCTGGGGATCAGCTCCCAAACACCCTCAAGCAGGTAGGGGACACCACCCCTTTCTCCCTGCCAGGGCTGTGGCATTCCTGACCTTCACCTTCAGGTAGTCCCCCAGGTGACCCCCTCCAGCCCTGTAAGTGCCCCAAGGATGGAAAATGGCTGCCTTCTTGATCTGGTCCTTCCCTGTCCTGGAGCAGGAAGGCAGGCCTTAACCTCTCCTTCTTTCCTGCAGGGAATAGAACGTGTCCGGGCTGTGGCCAAGCGGATTGGTGAGGTCCAGGTGGCTTGTGGCCTGAACCAGACGGTGGAGGAATTTGTGGGGGAGCTGAATTTTGGGCTGGTTGAGGTTGTATATGAGTGGGCCCGGGGCATGGTGAGTACCTGAGGTTTGGGATTTTGCAGACGGCTGGCTGGGGAGAACCTGCCCAGGCTGAGTGCATCCAGTCCTCACCCTACTTTCCCCACAGCCCTTCTCCGAGTTGGCAGGGCTCTCAGGGACCCCTGAGGGCCTGGTGGTCCGCTGCATTCAGCGCCTGGCTGAGATGTGTCGCTCACTGCGGGGGGCAGCCCGCCTGGTAGGAGAGCCTGTGCTGGGTGCCAAGATGGAGACAGCGGCTACCTTGCTACGGCGGGACATCGTATTTGCGGCCAGCCTCTACACCCAGTGAATGCCCCATGTAAAAACATGATGATAAAACAGCAAAGCACTGTTGTGTGCTTGAGTTGCTGGACAGGGATGACTCAGCTAAGAAGACAGCGAGAGAACCTCTTAGAAATATGCTTTTATTATCTGCACACAGAGATATGACTGCCTCCCTCTAAAGCATTACTATTTGGGAGAGGGAGTCTTGGGGGGTGATGGGAGGTCCTGAGTCATAGCTTCCACATACCATATGGGCAGGAAGGCGTAAGGTGCATCTTGGTGTACAGACACGGTGACTGGGCCGCCAGGCTCCCAAGAGAAGAGATGAACGAGCCTGGGGGGCAGATGGAGGCATCAGTTGAGGGCCAGAGGCTGGATCCTGGGATCCAGAGGGGAGGGACAGAGCTGAATGCCTCACCTGGGGTCATCCTGGACAACCGTGCTCTGGGCAAAGCTAAGGAAGGCGGCACAGAAGTTCATGCACACAGAGGGATTCCAGCCGTCACGGTCATTCTGGAGCAGGCAGAGGAGGAGGCAGAAGATGGGCAGTGGGGGTGGTGGGAGGAGAGAAGGCAGGCTGTTGCCCTGGATGCTAGACCTGTGGTCTTGGTGTTTGGGGATACGGGTGGGAGCTGCAACATCGTTCCCTTACCCTGACATATTCAAACATCTTCATGGTAGGAAAGGTCTTGAGGGAAGAGACAAAACCGTCTGGGTTACGGAAGCCAGCAACAACATTCGGGACCCCTGGGAGGAATGACTGAGCCCACCATTTCAGGAGCTTGTGTCTGACAGGAAAAGCAAGGGATCAGTGGGACCCCTCGTGCACCCTCCATTCTGCCTTCACCCTCCTCCCCAAGTCCCTTTCCCAGCCTTCAAGCCTAAGCTCTCGCCCTGCCCACCCCGATCCTGAACCTGTAGAAACTCCTCCATTGGCCAGGGCTGTGCATCTCCTTGGAGGTCTTGAGCTCCACATAGCAGGTTGGGGGCTGTGTGGATGGGGCTTGGGGGTCTGTGCAGTCTACCTCCCCTGAGAAGAGCAGAGGGTGGCTTCCCAGGCGGCTGCGTAGCACAGAGCAGAAGGCCACGTTGGTGTTAACCTCCCCAGAGGGGTCTGGGGAGCTTCCAGGTTTGTCTGCACAAGGAGAGAAGCAGCAGCAGGCGTGGGGGGCTCTCAACCTCTGGGAAGGGGAAGGGGGCTATGAAGCAGGGGCAACTCACCTGCACACATGTACTGCTCAAATTTGTATCCCATGTACATAAGCTCCCGGAGGAGCGGTGGCCGAGCAAGCCTCTGGGCCCGAGCGTTCGGTGTCTCCACTTCACTCAGGTATAGTGTTCCCTGGAACCGGGAGGCTGCCAGCTGCCAGCCCTCCTGCCGCTCATACGGTGTCGTCAGCAGTTTTGTCAGGTGCCCCCGCCACGTCACTATGGCCTCTGCCAGCCAGCCTGGACCCCTGAGAGGCAGGAGTTACAGGCTGAAGGTCTGACACAAGCATTAGTGAGATGCTCCCCTCGAAGAATAGTCTTGTTTCTTCTAAGGACTGATTCTCACCCCGGCTTTGGCTCTCCTAATTTTAGAGGGTAGGTACGGGTCTCCAGATATACTGCCTACCACGCTTTGCTCACCCCTCCAACCGGCCTCGGTGTTCCAGGAGCCAGCACAGCAGGTGGTCCAGCCTTTCCTGGACCTCCTCGTCCCGGGGCTGGTATCGATCCGGGTATCCGTCTCTGAGGTCAAAGTTGGGGCCTGGACCGTTAGTGGGGGGTGGGCTATAGTAGCGCAGGGCTCGGGCATCTCCATGGTACTGGCGTTGAGCATCCAGGGAGAAGCAGCCCAGTTCCGAAGGGCGCCGGTAGAAAGGAAAGGGCCCAGAGTAGAGGGCAGGGTCTGTGGGCAGAGAAGGTGCTGGACGAGGTAGTTTGTTCCGAGGCTCAGCTACCTCTGTCTTCTCAGCTCCTCTCTTGGTCCCCCTGGGATCCATGAGGTCCTAAGACAAGCAGGGGTACAGAGTTTCCATTCTACAGAGGAGGCCTGGAGAAGGATGACTGGTTTAGGACTAAGCGAGCCACCTGATCGCCAGGCTCTGGCCTTGAAACATTCAGGCCCCTCAGACGCCACCGCGGCCAAGCTCTCATCCTGCCTCTTTCCTTGCCCTTCACCCACCCTCCCTCCAGGTCCTCCAAATGCAGTGAGGTTAGGAAGGACGTCTGCGCTCAGATCAAGAATCCAGTTACCTCAAAGCTCCCCAACTTCCACCTCCGCAGAGCTATGACGTCATGGCAGGCACGCCAGAGGCCGAAGGATGCAAAAGTGGTTTTCTGCTTTCGATGATGCAATCATTCAGCGACAGTGGCGGGCAAACCCCTCCCGGGGCGGGGGAGGTGTGAGCTTCACGAAGGAGGTTGACACCAACGTGGCCACCGGCGCCCCTCCACGCCGCCAACGAGTCCCCGGGCGTGCGTGCCCTTGGAGGGAGCCAATCCGCGGCCGGCGTGGGGCCCGGCCTGGCGGAGGTGATGCTGGTATGTGCGTCGCCACCGCCCCTCCCAGCACTGACGGGCCTGAGGGACGACAAGTTGACGCTCCTTTCGTCATCACCTGGTCTAGGAGGGACGCCCGGGGAGACCGTACGTCACTGCTCTGCGCCGGAAGACCCTATTTTCAGGTTCTCTTCCCTCCATTCCTACCCCTTCCCCGGTACCATAAAATCCCGGGATATGAGCTGGAAGAGGCATCACCTGATCCCGGAGACCTTTGGAGTTAAGAGGCGGCGGAAGCGAGGGCCTGTGGAGTCGGATCCTCTTCGGGGTGAGCCAGGTAACCATGGCAACCCCGGGGGTGGGGCCTCGCTTCCGGTAGCCGAGAGTTTTGTTAGAACCGCGTCCCCGCCCCAGTTCCCTGTCCGTGAGCCGATTTATCTGCCCAGGGTCGGCGCGCGCGGCTGTCTCAGAACTCATGCAGCTGTTCCCGCGAGGCCTGTTTGAGGACGCGCTGCCGCCCATCGTGCTGAGGAGCCAGGTGTACAGCCTTGTGCCTGACAGGACCGTGGCCGACCGGCAGCTGGTGAGGGGCGTCGGTGCGACCGCCGGAAGCCCCTTTCCTAACTCCTGGAATTCCCTGTCACTCAGTCACTCCGCCAGCCGTTCAGCAAGCATTAGGCCTTTCAGGCGAGGGCACTGTGCCAGGCACTGGGGTGCCACAGAGACCCTGTTAAAAGTCCCGCAGGTAGTACAGGGCATTTCAAATCATGGAGGTAGAAGAACGAGGCTTTTGGGGAAACCGAGTCATGGGGCATGGTTCGAACATACAGCGCTGGGAGTGCAGTCAGACGTCAGATCATGACAGGCCTTGTACATCAGTGTTGTTTCCATCTTACACTGAGGCGATGGGCTGGTAGAGAATATCATAGAGAGAGGGAATGGTGTATTGGAGATAGTGGATGAGGCAGGGAGGTCAGCTAAGAAGATACTGCATCTGAGAAGTGGTGAAGGCCTAAATTAGGTCAGTGCAGTAGGGAGGGAGAGGAGAGTGAGGAAGAGGGAGGAGTCCAGGACAACTCAGACTTTCCAGATGACTGCGTGGCTGGTGGTATTAGGAGCACATTTAGTTGTTGGACTACAGATAATGTGTTTAATTTTATACAAGTTGAGTTGATGGTGCATGTGGAGCATCCAAAGACAAAGGTATTAGACAGTTGGATATGAGAGTTGGAGAGAATTCTGGGCCAGTGATAATAGAATTACAAGTCATGGAGGTGTGAATAGCAAGTGGTTAATTCTGTGATGTGGTGAGATCCAGTAGGAAGAGTGGGTAGAGGAGTGATTTCTAACCTTTTTGTAATCTTTAGAAGGTGATAAAAGCTATGGCTATCTCTCTCCAGAAAAATGCACGTTTGCCACATATACATAGGGTGTATGTATAGTTAGGGGGGAAATATTTTACTAATCCTGCGAGGTCCGTGGTTAAGGACTCCAGGTTTAGAGTGGAAGTTAATAGGGTCAAATCCACAATGCTGGGAAACACCATCATTTAAGGCAGTGTTACTGAATATATGAGCTGAGTTATTATGCCTGTGTCAAAATTACGTGGGCTGCTTGTTAAAAAAAATACAGGTTCCTGGGACTCATCCAAGGTTAATGAATTACGCTCTCTTGGGGCGGGATTTGGGACTCTACATTTTTGAACTGCCTCAAGTGCTTTTTAAGTGTGCCTTAAAATTTGAGATCCACTGACATAAAGGGAAAGCAGAAGAAGAGGAATCTGTGACAGAGGCAGAGAGGGACTTGCCTGAGTTAAGAGGAACCCAGAGGCCGGCGCGGTGGCTCACACCTGTAATCCCAGCACTTTGGGAGGCCGAGGTGGGTGGATCTCTTGAGCTCATGAGTTTGATACCAGCATGGGCAACATGACATAACCCCATCTCTACAAAAAATACAAAAATTAGCCAGGCGTGGTGGTACGCGCCTATAGAGCTACTGGGGAGGCTGAGGTGGGAGGATTGCTTGAGCTGGGGAGGCGGAGGTTGCAGTGAGCTGAGATAGCACCGCTGCACCCCACCCTGGGTGATAGAGCTAGACTTTGTCTCAAAAAAAAAAAAAAAAAAAAGTAACCCAGGAAGAGGCCTACTGTGAAAGTAAAGAGATTTTTGAGAAAGTGAAGTAGTTGGCAGTATTAGAACCTGTGATTCAAGACAGTGGTCTAAGAAGAGGGAAGAGGTAAAGTAAAATATAAACTGAAATCTAGGCTGAGTGTGGTGGCTCATGCCTGTACTCCCACCACTTTGGGAGACTGAGGCAGGAGTATAGCTTGAAACCAAAAGTTTGAGACCAGCCTGGGCAACAAAGTGAGACCCCATCTTTACTAAATAACTGAGATCCCATCTCTACTAAATAAATAAATTAAAACACAAAAATTCTTAGCTGGGCATGGTGGTGTGCACCTATTGTTCTAGCTGTTTGGGAAGTTGAGGCAGAAGGAGTGCTTGAGCCCAGGAATTTGAGGCTGCAGTGAGCTATGATTGCACGACTGCACTCCAGGCTGGGTAACAGAGGGAGACCCTGTCTCTAAAAAAATGAAAACAACAACAAAAAAACCCAGAACTGAAATCTGTCCATTGGATTTAGCAGGTAGAAGGTTAATAGTGATCTTTCAAGAAAAGAGGAAAGAAAAGGAAGGCAGTCTAGCACTCACTTGAGGTGAGCTAGTCTCCCTGACTAGGTCTCCCGTGAGGAAGCATGCCAGATGGAACCACTCCTTAAGGAGTATTTGTTGATTTTAATGTATTGGTGTTAGCTTTTGTTTTTAAAAACCTTTAAAAGTTGCAGAATGAAAATATAAACATATATAATTTAAATGATGTTTATAAAGCAGATACCTATCTAGCCACTCCCTAGGTCAAACTATAGAATATGACCAGTATCCCACATATATCCCTCTCTGATCAAAATGTCTCTGATCAGAATGTCCCTGGGAGGTGACTGCTGTGGTCATTGTTGCCTTAGTTTTCCCTTTTTTTTTTTTTTTTTTGAGGTGGAGTGTCGCTCTGTTGCCCAGGCTGGAGTGCAGTGGTGTGATCTCAACTCACTGCAACCTCTGCCTCCTGGGTTCAAGCAATTCTCCTGCCTCACTGTCCTGATTAGCTGAGACTACAGGCACGCGCCACCATGCCCAGCTAATTTTGGTATTTTTAGTAGAGATGGGGGTTTCATCATGTTGGCCATAATGGTCTTGATCTCCTGACCTCGTGATCTGCCCTCCTCGGCCTCCCAAAGTGCTGGGATTACAGGCATGATCCACCGCACCCGGCCTAATTTTGTATTTTTATAGGGATGGGGTTTCACCCTGTTGGCCAGGCTGGTCTCAAACTCCTGACTCAGATGATCTGCCTGCCTCGGCCTCCCAAAGTGCTGTTTTTTTTTTTTTTAATTGTCTTTTTGATAATTCCACTATTTTTTTTTTTTTTGAAAAGTCTCCCATGTCTACCTCTTTCCACACAGACACGGCAACCATCCGATTTCTCAATCTTTTCCCCACCTTTTCCCGCTTTCTAGTCCACAAAACCACCATTGTCATCGTGGCCCGTTCTCAATGAGCTGTTGGGCACACCTCCCAGATGGGGTGGTGGCCGGGCAGAGGGGCTCCTCACTTCCCAGCAGGGGCGGCCGGGCAGAGGCGCCCCTCACCTCCCGGACAGGGCGGCTGGCCGGGCGGGGGGCTGACCCCCCCACCTCCCTCCCGGACGGGGCGGCTGGCCGGGCAGAGGGGCTCCTCACTTCCCAGTAGGGGTGGCCGGGCAGAGGCGCCCCTCACCTCCCGGACGAGGCGGCTGGCCGGGCGGGGGGGGCTGACCCCACCACCTCCCTCCCAGACGGGGCGGCTGGCCGGGTGGGGGGCTGACCCCCCACCTCCCTCCCGGACGGGGCGGCTGGCTGCGTGGGGGGCTGACCCCCCCACCTCCCTCCCGGACAGGGCGGCTGGCCGGGCAGAGGGGCTCCTCACTTCCCAGTAGGGGTGGCTGGGCAGGGGCGCCCCTCACCTCCCGGACGGGGTGGCTGGCCGGGCAGGTGGCTGACCCCCCCACCTCCCTCCTGGAGGGGGCGGCTGCCGGGCGGAGATGCTCCTCACTTCTCAGACGGGGCGGCTGCCGGGCGGAGGGTCTCCTCCCTTCTCAGACGGGGAGGCTGGGCAGAGACCCTCCTCACCTCCCAGACGGGGTCGCGGCCGGGCAGAGGCGCTCCTCACATCCCAGACGGGGCGGCGGGGCAAAGGCGCTCCCCACATCTCAGACGATGAGCGGCCGGGCAGAGACGCTCCTCACTTCCTAGATGGGATGGCGGCCGGGCAGAGACACTCCTCACTTTCCAGACTGGGCAGCCAGGCAGAGGGGCTCCTCACATCCCAGACAATGGGCGGCCAGGCAGAGACGCCCCTCACTTCCCAGACGGGGTGGCGGCCGGGCAGAGGCTGCACTCTGGGCACTTTGGGAGGCCAAGGCAGGCGGCTGGGAGGTGGAGGTTGTAGCAAGCCGAGATCCCGCCACTGCACTCCAGCCTGGGCACCATTGAGCACTGAGTGAACCAGACACCGTCTGCAATCGCGGCACCTCCGGAGGCCGAGGCTGGCGGATCACTCGCGGTTAGGAGCTGGAGACCAGCCCGGCCAACACAGCGAAACCCCGTCTCCACTAACAAAATACGAAAACCAGTCAGGCGTGGCGGCGCGCGCCTGCAATCGCAGGCACTCGGCAGGCTGAGGCAGGAGAGTCAGGCAGGGAGGTTGCAGTGAGCTGAGATGGCAGCAGTACAGTCCAGCTTCGGCTCGGCATCAGAGGGAGACCGTGGAAAGGATAATTCCACTATTACTTGTCTTTTGGGGTTTGTTTTTATTCTCTCTTTGAGTTTTGTTTCCTTATGCGCCCAGTTACTTTTGAAAATGTTCTGGGCAGATTTGCCTAGATTAATAAATGCCCTCCATGTTCCAATTACTTTTTTTTTTTTGAGACAGTGTCTTACCCTGTCACCAAGCTGGAGTGCAGTGGTATGATCTTGGCTCACTGCAACCTCTGCCTCCTGAGTTCAAGTGATTCTCCTGCCTCAGCCTCCCAAGTAGCTGGCATTACAGGCACCTGACACCACGCCCAGCTAATTTTTTTTTTTTTTTTTTTTTTGAGACGGAGTCTCGCTCTGTCACCCAGGCTGGAGTTCAGTGGCATGATCTTGGCTTACTGCAAGCTCTGCCTCCTGGGTTCACCCATTCTCCAGCCTCAGCCTCCCGAGTAGCTGGGACTACAGGTGCCCGCCACTATGCCTGGCTAATTGTTTTTTTTTTTGTATTTTTAGTAGAGATGGGGTTTCACCGTGTTAGCCAGGATGGTCTTGATCTCCGGACCTCGTGATCCACCCGTCTCAGCCTGCCAAAGTGCTGGGATTACAGGCATGAGCCACCGCATCTGGCCTATTTTTGTATTTTTAATGGAGACCGGGTTTCATCATGTTGGCCAGGCTGGTCTTGAACTTGAACTTCTGACCTCAAGTGATCCACCCTTAGCGTCCCAAAGTGCTGGGATTACAGGCATGAGCCACCGTGCCCGGCCCCAGTTATTTTTATTTTTATTTTTTGAGTTAGAGTCTCACTCTGTCACCCAGGCTGGAGCGCAGTGGCATGATCTCGGCTCATAGCAACTTTCTGGGTTCAAGCAGTTCTCCTGTGTCAGCCTCCTGAGTAGCTGGGACTACAGGCACACATCACCACGCCCGGCTAATTTTTGTAGTTTTAGTAGAGACGGGGTTTTACCATATTGGTCAGGCTGATATTGAACTCCTGACCTCAGGTGATCCACCCACGTCAGCCTCCCAAAGTGCCGGGATTACAGGCTTGAGCCATCTCGCCCGGCCTACTTAGATGTTATATTAGTGGTAATTCCTGTTATCCTGTGAGCTCTTTAGTGTCTAAACAATTTTTTTTAAGAGATGGGGTCTCACTGTGTTGCCCAGTTGCAATCATATCTTACTGCAGCCTCAAACTCCTGGGTCAAGTGATCCTCTTGCCTTAGTCTCCCAAGTAGCTAGGACCATAGGTGTCTGCCCCCACGCCTGGCTGTTTTTACATTTTTTGTAGAGATGTGGCGGGTGGGGGGGTCTCACTGTGTTGCCCAGACTGGTCTCGAACTCCTGTCCTCAATTGATCCTGCTACCTCAGCCTCCCAAAATGCTGAATTACAGGCATGAGCCACTGTACCTGGTCTTAAACAATTTTAAAATAACATTTTTATCCAGGATTTTAGTTAATTTTCAACAGGTGGATTAGTTCTTGCTGTATTCTCGTAAACAGAAGTCCTGGTTTATTTTTATTTGTTTTAAACATTGAATCCCATACTCCTCCCCACCTTACCCTACCCAGAATTTAGACTGTTAATGTTTTGAAGCCACAGCCTGCATCTTAATCACTATTTTATCTTAGTGCCTGGTCTTAGAAATTATATTGACTCTTTGATAGACCATATATAAGGCAGGTGGATGAGAATGTGGGTAGCTAGTTGGAAAAGGCTGCTTGGTCATTTGCTTGATTATTTTCTCACACAGTTTTTCCTTTACTAAGAGAAAATGCCCCCATATTGGCAAACAAAATCTCCCTGCCTGAGAGCACCCAGAGTATAGCAGAGCATCTTACCCTGATACGCCTCTTTTCACTCTCTTCTCTGTGGAGACAGAAGGAGCTTCAAGAGCAGGGGGAGATCAGAATCGTCCAGCTGGGCTTCGACTTGGATGCCCATGGAATTATCTTCACTGAGGACTACAGGACCAGAGTATGTGACTGTGTGCGTCAGGGGTGCTGGGGGGAGGGCACAGGTTGGGGGAGACAGGGAAGTTGGGAAACAGAAATAAAAACAAAAGAAAGAATTTCCCTGCCCCCACATCCCATGGAGAGGGCACAGGGCCCTGGTAAATAGTAATATGAGGGAGAGAGACAGGAGGGAAAGAGGGAGGAGTGAGAGGGTAAAGAGGGGGGGAGAGGAGGGGGAGGAGGAGGAAGGAAGGAGGGGGAGGAGGAGGGGGGGAGGAAGAGGGGGAGGAGGATGAAGAGGAGGAGGAAGAAGAAGGGTATGAGAGGTGGAAGGATCTGAGCAAGAGGTAAGACAGGAAGAGAAATGCTGTCCTGGGGGTGGAGGTTGGTAGAGAGTGAGGGTGGGGATGGACCATGTCTCTCATCTCTGCTTGTAGGTCCTCAAGGCCTGTGATGGCCGACCGTATGCTGGGGCAGTGCAGAAATTTCTAGCTTCAGTACTTCCAGCCTGTGGGGACCTTAGTTTCCAGCAGGACCAAATGACACAGACCTTTGGCTTCAGGGACTCAGAAATCACGTGAGACTTGTGGAACCAACCAAAGTCAGGCATCTGGTGCTTCCCTGCCTCCCTCCAGTTCCATCCAGCCTGTCCTCCTGTTTTTTTGGTGAACCTGCCAGAAAAGCTGCCAAAAAGCTGACTCTTCTTTTTAATAAAATGACCCAAGTTTGTATTCCTCCCCACAAGAGAGGAGGCCTATCTTACCTGGGCCTTAGAAAGAGCCCTGAAATAGAATTCAGTTCTTGGTGGCTTATCAAAAGCACACAGGGGCCTGGCAGGAAGTGTAAAAGCTTGATGTTAATCATACTGGGACTAAGAGGATAGAGAATGGTAGGAGCTGGGATACCCCTAAACATTCACATTAAAACAAAAAAAACCCAAAGCTAAAAAACAACTGGGCAGGAGCTAAATAAAAATCTAATTTTGAGAGGCTGTATCTGGCTCAGGCCTCCTACTTTGTAACCCATGGAATATGTGAAAGCATTTGAAAAACTATAGCACTGATCTCACATGGGCAGACACACTCTCAGAGAGATGTGGTGGGAGCCATGGCGCAGTCTGCCTAGGCAGTGGCAGGAGCGCAGAAGACTCTGATTCCTCTCCTCGGTCCTAAGACCGAATGTGTGTCAGGACATGTGGTCAGGGAAGAGAAGCTATTTAACTGAACCAGTAATAGTAGCAGGAAAAGAAAAAGTGGAGGGAGGGCAGTCCAGGTAGGGGGCCTGGAACAAGCAACTGCACCAACAGAGGCAGTTGGTGCGAGCACAGAACCACCCCAGGCTGGGATTTTGTTATCCAGTCTCTCTTGCATGGTTGCCCGTGTTTCTGGAGACTTGTGTAAACATTAATGGATGAGGAGGAGAGATGGTTCTCAGAGCCCAGCCCTCATCTCTGCTGGCTTCCCACTGCCCTCAGGCATCTGGTGAATGCTGGAGTCCTCACCGTCCGAGATGCTGGGAGCTGGTGGCTAGCTGTGCCTGGAGCTGGGAGATTCATCAAGTACTTTGTTAAAGGTATCCCATCTGCAGCTCAAGCCTGCAGCCCCTCACCTTTTGGTGGCTCCTCAGGCCTCTAGGCCTTATTCACCTTTCCCCTTTCCTGTGCCACTTCTCCTCTAGGGCGCCAGGCTGTCCTTAGCATGGTCCGGAAGGCAAAGTACCGGGAACTGCTCCTATCAGAGCTCCTGGGCCGGCGGGCGCCTGTCGTGGTGCGGCTTGGCCTCACCTACCATGTGCACGACCTCATTGGGGCCCAGCTAGTGGACTGGTGAGTCTTTCCCTGGCCTCTGGCAGATTATGGAGCAATGACCCAAAGTGGGATTTCCTCCCAGCTCATGCTTAGTTTCCTAGTGAAGGCCAGTGGCTCTCATTCTTCTCTGGAACCCGGGAGCACCCCTTCCCAAGTTCTAAGTTCTCCTCACAGCTTGAGCCTAGGCGTCTGGCTCCAGCCTTGTCTTTCTCCTGCACAGCATCTCTACCACTTCAGGAACCCTCCTCCGCCTGCCAGAGACATGAAGATTCTGCTCATCATTGCTCAGCTCCTCAGAGTGGGCCGGGAGGGGACTAGAAGAGCTGCATGATGGTGGCTGAGACAGGGTCACCTTGGGAAGGCTTGGGAGCCAGGATGAGTGTCGGGCTCTCGTGTGTGCAAAAGGTCAGATGTGACTGCTGCTGTTTGCCTGGTTTCTGACCCAGTGGTGGGGTTTGAGCAATGCTTCTCTGCCCTTCCATGGAAAGTGGAACCAGAAATGGTGCCAAGGCTGTGGCTGTTCCCTTTCGTGTAAAATGGTGCTGTTATTACTCTGTCTTGAAATAGGAAGGTGGGATTTCTGGGGAGGCTGGTGAAGGAGGGCAGGGTTCTTTTCTCTACGTGTCATGTTAAAATTGCCAAATAAAGTACCTCTGCCTGTGATATTTTCTGGATGTCCTTTATTTACTGTGACGTGTGTTTGGGTGCCTTGTTTAGGGGTAGAGGTGAAGTCTGAGCTTTGCCTCATTCAGAGAGGAAAGGGGTCAGGGGTTCACTCTGACGTTCAGGCCATTCTCCCTGTGGAGTGGTGAGGGTGTACCTAATCTCCTAAACCACGGAATTTCTGTTAGGGCCTAAAAAAGCAAAAGCCTAGTATAGTTCAATTTGTGTTGGAATGAAAGTAAGAGACAAGTGTCTTAGAAGCCTGTCATTGTTTTGTGAGGGCCTTTAAATATCCTGTACTCGTGGGCCATGTTGGGCCCTTGTACGCCCAGGTATACATGAGCTTGTGTGCACCTATACCCTGATACAGATATACCTGGTAGGGGGAGGTGCTCAGGCACTGGAATGAGAGGAGTTAACGGGGAAGGACAGGGTTATTTCTGGGCCAAGATTCAGAGTTTCCCATGGACACCCAGGTGTCCGGGGTGCCCCCACAACTCTGGGCCTGAGGCCAGTTGCACTTCTTGGCTGTCACGTGGTTTCCCAGCTTAGCTGGGCTGGGGGAGGAGCAAGGTCCAGAGTCAACTCTGCCCCGAGGCCTAGCTTGGCCAGAAGGTAGCAGACAGACAGACGGATCTAACCTCTCTTGGATCCTCCAGCCATGAGGCTGCTCTGGGGGCTGATCTGGGCATCCAGCTTCTTCACCTTATCTCTGCAGAAGCCCAGGTCCTGGAGGCGGGATGCTGGGTGCTTGGATTGGGGCAGGGCTGGCATCGGGACCCGATTCAGGAGTGAGGGAGAGCAGGGGTGGAGGTGTCAGAGCGAAGTCTGACTGCTGATCCTGTCTGTTCTCCCCAGGTTGCTCTTGTTCTCTCCTTCTGTGGTTCATCTGGGGGTCCCCCTATCGGTGGGGGTGCAGCTCCAGGATGTGCCCCGAGGACAGGTAGTGAAAGGATCAGTGTTCCTGAGAAACCCATCTCGTAATAATGTCCCCTGCTCCCCAAAGGTGGACTTCACCCTTAGCTCAGAAAGAGACTTCGCACTCCTCAGTCTCCAGGTAACCAGACCCCATGCCCTCCTGCTGCTTGTGGGGGCCTCCTGCCCTGTTCCCATCTGTCTTGTAAGTGTCATCATCTTCCCACTGGCCTCCTCCCCTCCTGTCTTCCCACCCTGGCATTCTCCTTCCACGTTTCTCCCTTGGTCTCTGTCCTTTTTGGTCAGCTGTCTCTTGCTCTGTGACCCGCTCCCTCTCCCTCTCCCTCTCCTGACAGGTGCCCTTGAAAGATGCGAAGAGCTGTGGCCTCCATCAACTCCTCAGAGGCCCTGAGGTCCAGCTGGTGGCCCATTCGCCATGGCTAAAGGACTCTCTGTCCAGAACGACAAACATCCAGGGTATCAACCTGCTCTTCTCCTCTCGCCGGGGGCACCTCTTTTTGCAGACGGACCAGCCCATTTACAACCCTGGCCAGCGGGGTGAGTCTCAGCCCCAGGGCCTCAACCTTTAACCCCCTCCGAGCCCTCTCAGGATGAGTTTGGTGCCCCCTAAGTGAGATAACCTGAAAGAAAGTGCCACACAGAAGGGGTGCTTAGGAAACATTTGTCCCCTGCTCCCTCTGTGGAGTTTGACCCACCCTCCCCTTGCACATGGACCCCTGCTCACCTCTCTCCTCCTCCACTCCCAGTTCGGTACCGGGTCTTTGCTCTGGATCAGAAGATGCGCCCGAGCACTGACACCATCACAGTCATGGTGGAGGTGAGTCCCCGACCTCTGGCCTTCCTGATCCTGGCCACTGATGTGACCTCCTGCCTGTGAGCACTTCTCCCCTTGCAGAACTCTCACGGCCTCCGCGTGCGGAAGAAGGAGGTGTACATGCCCTCGTCCATCTTCCAGGATGACTTTGTGATCCCAGACATCTCAGAGTGAGCGCTCCCAATGTGGGGGCTGCCCCCAAGCTACACCACCCCAATTCCTGTTAGGCTCTCCACCTCCCACACAGAGGCACGTCCCCAGATGCCCTGACCCTCAGCCTCCTGAGCCTCTGGTTAACCCCCACAGTCCTCTTCCCAGGGAAGCAGGCTGCTGGCTCTCCGTGCCCCACTGTACAGATGGGCTGAGCCCCTTCCTTGTCCATTCTCAGGCCAGGGACCTGGAAGATCTCAGCCCGATTCTCAGATGGCCTGGAATCCAACAGCAGCACCCAGTTTGAGGTGAAGAAATATGGTGAGAGCTGGAAACTGGAGGGACAGGCAGCTGCTTTCCTGAAGGAAATAAGGGTGGAAGGAGAGGTACTGGGAGCAGCTCAGGGCAGGGAGATATGGGTGCCACAGCCCTGAGCAGAGGGGAGTCTTTGAGCTGGAGTCTGACCTGCCTATCCCTTCACCCTGGGTCAGTCCTTCCCAACTTTGAGGTGAAGATCACCCCTGGAAAGCCCTACATCCTGACGGTGCCAGGCCATCTTGATGAAATGCAGTTAGACATCCAGGCCAGGTAATACCTCCCTCCCCACCTCTGCCCACCAGCACCGGGTCCTGCTCCCTACTCAGTATGAATGGGCTCCTGCTTCCCTGCCCTCGGGCCATTATTCCCCCCAGCCCTTGGCCCACCCTCTTCTCTCTGCCACGACAGGTACATCTATGGGAAGCCAGTGCAGGGGGTGGCATATGTGCGCTTTGGGCTCCTAGATGAGGATGGTAAGAAGACTTTCTTTCGGGGGCTGGAGAGTCAGACCAAGGTAGGAAGGAGAATAGGGGCTGGGGAGGGGAAGGGGCAAGGGAGGTGAGGTGGGAGACTCAGTCTCACCCTATGTCCTGTTTCTTTCTATGCCCCAGCTGGTGAATGGACAGAGCCACATTTCCCTCTCAAAGGCAGAGTTCCAGGACGCCCTGGAGAAGCTGAATATGGGCATTACTGACCTCCAGGGGCTGCGCCTCTACGTTGCTGCAGCCATCATTGAGTATCCAGGTGGGTGACTTTCCCTTATTGTAACCCCAGACCCTTGCCTCTGACCTCTGAGCTAACCCTCTGTCCTCCAGCACCAACACCACCCCACTTCTCACATCTCATCTCAGACTCAAAACCAGGAAACACCCAGGAGACCTGGTTTCTCTCCAACTCTGTCTCTGTGACTCGGCCCTTTTCCCTGGCTGAGTTTATTTATTTCTTTGCTCGTTCTGCTCATTCCTTCACTCCTCCAGTGGACATGTGTTGTTCAATGCCCCGTGCTAGGCCTCAGCATGCACAGACATGTTGGGGACCAGCCTCAACGCCACCCGTAGGGTTCCTGAAGTCCATTGGTGACACAGGAATGAGAAGAGACAGGTTAAGAGTTCATAAAGAGTGGGGGCCAGGGGGCCAATTGCAAAATGGAGGCTGCAAAAGGCTCAGAGCTCTGGTCTCCACACTATTTTTTGAGTACAGTCACTCAGATCTAAGAAGCAGATGTTCAGGGAGAAACAGTGAAAGGGAGGCAGTGGGTCATAGGCGTAATCTATAGCAATAGAGTTTTAAATGAATCTCCTTTGTGCTCAAACAGCATGTCTTTAAATTATCGGAGAGTAGCTGGTGGAAGTGGGCTTAGCTAGAAGACTGCATGTCTGTCCAATGCTTCAAAGGAGGGTCTTTCTCCTTGAACAGAGTGTTTACAGATAAGACAGGGGGTCTCACTCTGAGCATGGGAACATGATGGCAATTAGGAGGCTTTTCTTCTCAGAGGCCTCTTGTGGCTTTCCACAACTTATTGTCTCATATTTTTATGGACAGTTTATACAGGCACCCCACAAGTCCTTTTCCCAACATGCCCCCCTCCCTTTTTTTTTTTTTAACCGCTATTGCTATTATGGCTTATTTGTGGTGTTTGGTCTGTTTTCAGAAGTGTCTTTTGCATCTGTAGACTAAAAGTAAACAGCATAAACAGATACACATTAAAGTAAAATTTGTAATAGTTGATCCTTTAATGGTCTTAATCTGTTTAAGAGGATTTATGTTTGAAAGTCCGTCAGTAGCTCCAATGAGAATGTCAGTCTCAGGCAGGAGGGTTAAATGAGCCTGAGATGCTTTAAAAACCTGTTTTTTTAAAATTTGGTTATATTTAATGTTAAATTTTTATTTTTTTCTTTTAGATGATGTCTAACTTTTTAAAAATGATGTTTAGTAGTATTATACGAATGGGGAGTTATGTAGAAATTGGAAGTATTTCAATTACATTGTACTTCTAATTGATGTTTTAAGTTTATTGTACGATCTTCCATTTAAATAACAGTCTGTCTAAGATCATTTGTTTGATTTGTCAATTGTTGGTCTATTTGGGTCTGAGAATTCCACAATTTTGAGGAATTTTTTGTTAACTATTTATATATTTTGTAGTTTGAACAGAGGAGTGTAAAGCAATTCCAGCAGCCGCAGCAGTAGCTGTGACTGCAATAAGGCCCATAAGACTGTTATAAGGGTAAAAATAAATCTCTTTGTTTTGGTAAACACTTTTTTTTAAAACATTTTTGTGACAATATGAATGGAAGGAGAGGCTTTCTAAGGTCTATTGAGGGAAACCAGTATCCAAACTCCTTTCTTAGTTTTTATCAGTAACACAGATGTTTTTACACCGAACGTGGAATTAATACAGGTGAAAAGGTGACAGTTTTGACAAGTAATAGTTTGAGAATTAGGTCGAATGTCAATATTTTTGACCATTAACATAAAAGGAGGGTTGACACAACTCTGAATGGGCACTGTTTTGTTGGAAGAAAACTGATACGCAAATTGAAGTTTTTAACCTTTTTTTTTTAAAGATAATATATTTTTTTCTAAACTTAAATATGAGATTGGGCCATTATTAACTTTCATAATTTGGAGTGTTTAGGGCCTATTATTGGATTAATTATTTTGGGATGTGGGCCAGCTGTACTAAAATTGGTCCAAATTATGGGAAAATGAGCACGTTTTTCAGTGTAAGTAGTGTTACCTTTTTGATAGTATAGTTTCTGTTTTAGTTTTGTCTTGTATTTATTATTTTGATGGGTACAATTAACTGTAAAGGTCCCCTCAGGGGACCAATTAATGACAATTTCATAGGAATTATTTTGTAGTACCATAGTGTGATCAGAGATGTAATTTTTTTTAATTAATATTTTTAAATTATTTGACCATTGTTAAGGTTGTTGGCACCTCTTTTTTGGGGGCTTAAACTGTTAATTGAATTGAACTCTGTGAATGATCCGGGCTCCATCCAGAAAATAAATGATAGGATACTGGTCTTTGATTATGACCTGGAATTTTAACTAGTCAATGTTGTCGGTAGCCTTTTAGGCAACCGATAGTTGGCCTTATGTAAAGAGGGGGGAACTGATAACCTATGGACACATTTATTAACTTTTTTTTTTTTCCTTTGGGTGAGAGGGCCCATGAGTATTTGTAGGCTTAGGGATCCAAACGCTATTATTAACATAAACTTCAACTGGGGGTTTTAACCATGTGACAGGCCTAATTAAAGGCAGGAATGGGACACATGCCCAATAGGTATAATTTTGGGCTGTTGTAGCCACAGGTTTGTTAGGCGAGGAGGTCACTGTTTTTATTTTGGCTTTGTATTCTAGGATTAGTAAATAACAGAAGACAAACATGAGTATAATTAGTAACTTTTTTTTTTAGTAAAAGAGTGACCTGTAGTGTTACTTGGCATCTTAGTTTACTATATGTTATTAATGAGGAACCCCACTGGGGGTATGTTAATTTATTCTAGCTAAGCAGTTATGTTATTAGAAGCTGAGAAGGGGGTGTTTGTTAAAGTAACAGGGCAGAAGAAAGGCGGATTTAAGATACGAGCTTAATACAGTGTAGCAGGTATAGGTAGTAGGCAAAGTGAGAGAATTAAAAATGAATAAATTATTTGGCTTAGACTTTTGTTTTTTTAGTATAATGTCTGAGGCCTGTGTTGTTTGTGGAAGTCGCATTGTTGAGGCTGTAGTTCCTGTAGGGTCTTTTTTAGGCTGGTTCAAATGTTTTTTTATTTTTTAATTTTTTATCCTTTGATGAGGATGTAGTCTTTAGGCTGGTACTGGAAATTTTAGGAGTGGCGTCTGTGTTAAGAGACTTTTTACAATTTTTAAAGAGCAGGTTAGTGTTTTAAGAAAAACTTGTGTTTTATTTTAATGTTTAGTTTATAGAAAACTGGATGATATCTTTTTAACTTTAGTAAATACGTTTACACACGGAATTTTTTACAATTATCATTTTAAAACTTGTTTAGATCTTTAAAACAAAATTAAACAACCTTTTTTATATAAATTTTTTATAACTTTTTTTATGACTTTTACAGACAATTTTTAACATGTCTTAACTTTTTATGTTTTATAATTTTTTTACTAAAGGTACATTTTTATAACTTTTTAAATTTTTTTACTTTTTTGTATTTTTTTGATTTTTGTCTTAGTCTTTTTTTTACTTTTATTTTTTTAAATGTGTAATAATTAGATGAGTGTTGGTAACAATGGATGTATGTACATATTTTAGTTTTTAAAATTTAGGGATGTGTTTAACATCTGTTTGCCAGAACTGACTAGGTTCCAATTCTTTACGGTTAACACCTATTGAAGGAGGGTATGTGCCTGTGAGCTGGTAATCTGGGCATTGTGGGATAATTTGTTTAGCCAGCCTCTGTGTAAGTTGAAATTATTTAGATAAGTTTCTCCAATTTTGGTGGAATAATCGATGTGATTGGGTGGCTTGGTCAAGCAGTGATGTCATAACCTGAAGGTCTGCTTGATTATTGCCGTAAGCCAATGGGCCAGGCAGAGAGCTGTGGGCTCGAATGTGTGTAATAAAAGTAGGATGTGTACCTTGGTCTAGTAATTGTTGAAGTTGAAGAAAAAGACCACACAGAGTGGGCTCCAGAGCAAACTTAAGGCTGTAATAGTTTTTAAATAAATACACAGAATAACCTTAGCTCTCTGAATGTTAGTAAATTCAGATCAAGTGATTGGATTATGTGGTCTCCACCAGACTGTTGCTTTTTCATGTTTACCAGACCCACCAGTAAAAACAGCTATGGCTCCTTCCAAAGGGGCATCACAAGTAATTTTTGGAAGAACCTATGTAGTTAATTTTAAGAATTGAAAAGTTTTTAGGATAATGATTATTAATACATCCAACAAATTTTGTTAAATTAATCTGTCATGTAACTGAGTTAATAAATGCCTGTTTAACCTGATTTTTATTTATTGGAACTATAATTTTTATTGGGCTCAGTGCCACAAAGTTTAATAATTCATATATGAGCCTGTCCAATTAGAATTGCCATCTGATTTAAGTATACTGTAAGTGCTTTTATGGTATTATGTGGCAAAAAGGACCATTTAACTAAATCATCATTTTGAACAATAACCCCCATTATTGTGTGGTTAGTGTGAAGTAGGGAACACAATGAATTATAAAGGCAAGTCTGAGTCAATCCTACTGACCTGGGCTTGCTGAATTTTGTTTTCAATTACTGATAACTCTTTCATGGCCTCGGGTGTTAGTTCTCTGTTACTGCGTAAGTTGGTATTTCCCCTCAATATTGAGAAGAGATTAGACATAGCATAAGTAGGAATTGCTAAATTGGGCCAAATCCAATTAATATCTTCTAACAATTTTTGAAAATTATTTAAGGTTTTGAAAGAATCTCTTCTAATTTGAACCTTTTGAGGCTTAATGGCTCTATCCTGTACTTGTATTTTCAAATACTGAAAAGGAGTGGTTGTTTGAATTTTGTCAGGTGCTATAAGTAATTCAGCATTTGTAATTGTCTTTTGCAAAGATTAATAATATTGAATAAGTTGGTCTCTACTTTTTGCTGCACAAATCTGGAAACTGATCTCTAACAGGCTGGATAGTTCTGCCTACAAAAGTTTGACAAACTGTGGGACTATTTAACATACCCTGGGGCAAAACTTTCCAATGATATTTGGCTGCAGGTTTTTTGTTATTAACGGCAGGAATGGTAAAGGCAAATTTTTTGAAATCTGCCTCTGCTAAAGGAATTGTAAAAAAGCAGTCTTTTAAATCTATAATAACAAGCGGTCAGTCTTTAGGGAGCACAGTGGGGGATGGGAGCCCAGGTTGTAAGGCTCCCATCGGTTGAATTACAGCGTTGACGCCATCTACCGGACTTTTTCTTAATTACAAATACTGGGGAATTCCAAGGAGAGAAAGTGGGTGAAATATATCCTTTTTTTAGTAGTTTATTTTATAAAGCACCCCCAACTTTTCCTTAGGGAGCGGCCACTGTTCAACCCAGACGGGGCGCCGGGTCATCCATTTTAAGGGAAATTGCTCCTTCACTGTAATAACTGTAGGGTGAACCTGAATTGCCCCATCTCCATAATGAACTGTGGGTCGGGCAATAATGGGCACGGTGAGCCAAGTCTCGGGCTCCCTCCCCCTGCACCCACTCGGCTGAGGAGGAGGTGGCCATTCTGGACATTTCTCTACAGGAACCGTGGGCTGAACAATTTTTTGAGTAGGTTTAGGGAGACTGGGGAGATTGGCATAAATCATCTTCAGACTCTCCTTTTTGTTAGTACTCGGTAGAGGTGGTTCAGAGTTCTGATTATCAAACTCCTCTCTCTCCTCCTCTGACTCAGCCTCATTATCTGTCTGAAAAGGCTCCAGTGCTGCATGCACCAATGACCAAAGCGACCAAACAGGCAAAGGAATTTCCTTTCCTTCTCTATATGCTCTTTTAAGGTCCTTTCCAACTCCTTCTTAATGTTTTAATTTCAAAGTTTCCTGTTTTGGGAACCAAGGGCAAAATTGTTCCATAGCATGAAACAAATCCATAAGATTTTCCGTATCAACTTTTACCCCACCATGCATGCTTGAAGAGCTGCCGTAGGAAGCTCAAATACGTGGTGTACTTACTTTCAGTTTTTCCCATTGTGTCCCTAGCTTTCTCTGGGCGCCCCGCTTACCTGTAGAGGTTAAAACTTTTATGTCCTTGGGAGTCCTTTGTTCGTTGGTCCTCTGTTTCACATGCTTGAGCGTTTCCTCACCAGATTCTTTTGGGCCCCACGTTGGGCGCCAGAATGTTGGGGACCAGCCTCAACACCACCTGTAGGGTACCTGAAGTCTGGTGGTGACAAAGGAATGAGAAGAGACAGGTTAAGAGTTCATAAAGAGTGGAGGCCAGGGGGCCAATTGCAAAATGGAGGCTGCAAAAGGCTCAGAGCTCTGGTCTCCACACTATTTATTGAGTACAATAACTTAGATCTAAGAAGCAGATGTTCAGGGCAAAACAGTGAAAGGGTAGCAGTGCGTCACAGGCATAATCTACAGCAGAAGCGCTTTAAATGAATCTCCTTTGTGCTCAAACAGCATATCTTTAACTTATCGGAGAGTAGCTAGTGGGAGTGGGCTTAACTAGGAGCCTGCACGTCTGTCCACATTCCAATGCTTCAAAGGAGGGTCTTTCTCCTTGAATACAGTGTTTACAGATAAGAGAGAGCAGGTCTCGCTCTGAGCATGGCAATTAGGAGGCTTTTCTCCTCAGAGGCCTCTTGTGGCTTTCCACAACTTATTGTCCCATATTTTTATGGCCAGTTTATACAGGCACCCCACAAGTCCTTTTCCCAACACAGACAGGAATACGGCAGCCTGTGCCCTGGGAGCTCACTGTCTTGTGGGAGGGAACCACTCAAGCCACTCCCCACTTGTCCTCCTGTCCCTCTCTTCTTGGGCTCTGTCCCCCACCTCTCTCTGTCCTTTGTCTTGCAGGTGGGGAGATGGAGGAGGCAGAGCTCACATCCTGGTATTTTGTGTCATCTCCCTTCTCCTTGGATCTTAGCAAGACCAAGCGACACCTTGTGCCTGGGGCCCCCTTCCTGCTGCAGGTTTCTTCCAGAGGGGAAGGATGAGTAGGGAGGATGTGGTAGTTAGGAGGGCTCAGGGTCTGACCACTCTCTTTTGCCTGCCCTCCTTTACCTGCCTAGGCCTTGGTCCGTGAGATGTCAGGCTCCCCAGCTTCTGGCATTCCTGTCAAAGTTTCTGCCACGGTGTCTTCTCCTGGGTCTGTTCCTGAAGTCCAGGACATTCAGCAAAACACAGACGGGAGCGGCCAAGTCAGCATTCCAATAATTATCCCTCAGACCATCTCAGAGCTGCAGCTCTCAGTAGGACTCCTCGGACCCCTGGGAGATGGTGGGGGAAGGGGAGGAGGGTGAGCTGGGGTCCCAAGGATCCATGGCCTGACTTGGGGGGAAGGTGGGGTACTTGGCTCTGAGCTACTACCCTATTCGCACCTGACCCCCTCTCCAGGTATCTGCAGGCTCCCCACATCCAGCGATAGCCAGGCTCACTGTGGCAGCCCCACCTTCAGGAGGCCCCGGGTTTCTGTCTATTGAGCGGCCGGATTCTCGACCTCCTCGTGTTGGGGACACTCTGAACCTGAACTTGCGAGCCGTGGGCAGTGGGGCCACCTTTTCTCATTACTACTACATGGTGTGCATGAGCTGGGGAGTCACGGAGGGCTGGGGTGCAGGGAAGAGCCCTCTGGGTGGGGCTGGGGGGGTTCAAGGCTGAGGCTGTCCCATGAAGAGGCAACCACTCTTGTCCCTCCCATTCTTGGCCCAGATCCTATCCCGAGGGCAGATCGTGTTCATGAATCGAGAGCCCAAGAGGACCCTGACCTCGGTCTCGGTGTTTGTGGACCATCACCTGGCACCCTCCTTCTACTTTGTGGCCTTCTACTACCATGGAGACCACCCAGTGGCCAACTCCCTGCGAGTGGATGTCCAGGCTGGGGCCTGCGAGGGCAAGGTGACCGGGGTCAGGAGAGATGGCACTTGTGCCGAGGGGGTTGAGGACAGGGTGATTGCCAACAGGGCATGGATTTAGCTTGGGGGCAGTGAGGATACCGGGACTGAAGGAAGCTCTCCCACTCTGACCGCCCCCACCTGCCGCCCCTGCCAGCTGGAGCTCAGCGTGGACGGTGCCAAGCAGTACCGGAACGGGGAGTCCGTGAAGCTCCACTTAGAAACCGACTCCCTAGCCCTGGTGGCGCTGGGAGCCTTGGACACAGCTCTGTATGCTGCAGGCAGCAAGTCCCACAAGCCCCTCAACATGGGCAAGGTTTGTCCAGACCCTCTCCACAGCTCTCTCACCCCTCCATGGCTCATCCCCCTGCTTCCCTGAGCCTTGGGCGCAGCCCCTGGATCCCACTGAGGCTCCCCACAGTCTCTTCCCCACTTGGCCCTGTGGTCTCCATCTCCTGGCTCTGTATCCTTTCCTATCCCCCCATGTGCTGCCCTCTCACCTGTGCCGAGTGCTCAGTCCTGCCCCTCAGCCACACTTGGCTCCTAGCATTCCTGCCTTTCTTGCAGGTCTTTGAAGCTATGAACAGCTATGACCTCGGCTGTGGTCCTGGGGGTGGGGACAGTGCCCTTCAGGTGTTCCAGGCAGCGGGCCTGGCCTTTTCTGATGGAGACCAGTGGACCTTATCCAGAAAGAGTGAGAACAGAGAAGGAAGGGGAGTGGGTGGCGGGAAGATAAGGAAGGAGGAAGGGCCTGAGGGGACCAGCTGGAAGAGTCCGGGCAGGAAGGGCTGGGCAGGGGAAGGGGAGGAGGGGAGGAGGCCGAGTGCCTGACGGCTGGACTGCAGCCTTTCTCTCTACCAGGACTAAGCTGTCCCAAGGAGAAGACAACCCGGAAAAAGAGAAACGTGAACTTCCAAAAGGCGATTAATGAGAAATGTGAGTTGCGGGTGCCTAGGCAGTAGCTTGGGCTCTCCACCTGGGATCCGGGTTGGGGGTCTGCCTCTCTGCCCCTCGGCTCCTTGCTGAACCCACGTGTGGTATTTGGGGCCAGAGATCCGAATTCCGGGATTACGAGTGGAAGGTGGGCAGCTCTCTCCAGCAGCCTCTCTTATGTTGCTGGTCTCAAGGGGTCGGGGCGGGGGCTGAGGTGTATGTCCTTTTTGTCCTCTCATGCTCACCCCCACCTGGCCCTGCAGTGGGTCAGTATGCTTCCCCGACAGCCAAGCGCTGCTGCCAGGATGGGGTGACACGTCTGCCCATGATGCGTTCCTGCGAGCAGCGGGCAGCCCGCGTGCAGCAGCCGGACTGCCGGGAGCCCTTCCTGTCCTGCTGCCAATTTGCTGAGAGTCTGCGCAAGAAGAGCAGGGACAAGGGCCAGGCGGGCCTCCAACGAGGTGAGGGGCTGGGTGGGGCTAGGGCACAGGTGGCGGCGCTTGGAAAGGCAGAACGGTCCCCTCCTCACTCCCGTCCACCGTGGTCCCCCAGCCCTGGAGATCCTGCAGGAGGAGGACCTGATTGATGAGGATGACATTCCCGTGCGCAGCTTCTTCCCAGAGAACTGGCTCTGGAGAGTGGAAACAGTGGACCGCTTTCAAATGTGAGAGTGTGTGCCGGCCCGGCCTTTTCTCTGTGCTGTGTCTCGGGGCCAGCCGGGGTAGACGGGCCTTCTCTGCCTTTCCCTACACAGATTGACACTGTGGCTCCCCGACTCTCTGACCACGTGGGAGATCCATGGCCTGAGCCTGTCCAAAACCAAAGGTGATGTCACCCTGTCTGGGCCTCAGGTGACCCTGCTTCCATTTCCCTGTACCCCAGCTCCCTGTTCCCTTTGCTCTTAGTGTAGGAAGAGGGTCCAGTGATCTGGGGAGGTCTGTGCCAGCGTGCAGCTGGCGTGGGCCAGAGGGCAGAGGCGGACTGAGACAGAGCTGGGTCACCCCCACCCCTCCCTCCTGTGGCCCTGAAGCTTTGATGGCCCCTCTGATCTCTGCCCCTGTGCCCACGCTTCCTTTCCCTCAGGCCTATGTGTGGCCACCCCAGTCCAGCTCCGGGTGTTCCGCGAGTTCCACCTGCACCTCCGCCTGCCCATGTCTGTCCGCCGCTTTGAGCAGCTGGAGCTGCGGCCTGTCCTCTATAACTACCTGGATAAAAACCTGACTGTGAGGCCCCATAGGAGCCTGAGCATACAGGAGTTGGGGGAGCCAGGGCCCAGTGAGGGGTGGGGAGGCTAACCGGGCCAGGACTCTGGCCATCCTCGTTTTCCTGCCCTCAGGTGAGCGTCCACGTGTCCCCAGTGGAGGGGCTGTGCCTGGCTGGGGGCGGAGGGCTGGCCCAGCAGGTGCTGGTGCCTGCGGGCTCTGCCCGGCCTGTTGCCTTCTCTGTGGTGCCCACGGCAGCCGCCGCTGTGTCTCTGAAGGTGGTGGCTCGAGGGTCCTTCGAATTCCCTGTGGGAGATGCGGTGTCCAAGGTTCTGCAGATTGAGGTGAATGGAGCACCCCTGAATATAAGTCCCCGGGCCCCCAGCTTTGTCCTCCACCCTCAGCACTCTCTCTGCTGGCCAGGCCAGGGGCCCAACACCCAAACCAATGCCTTGGTCTGTTCCCATCTTCTACAATTCTGATCCAACTCTGTCCCTGGAGTTGAAACTCAAAGTTCTGGGGGAGTCTGTGCTAGCAGGGCAGGCTGTAGTCCTGTGTGACCTCACAACCATGTTTTCCCTGAGACAGAAGGAAGGGGCCATCCATAGAGAGGAGCTGGTCTATGAACTCAACCCCTTGGGTGAGTGACCCTCTACCTCCAGCCATTGGTTTCCTAAGTGGGTACAGGTGGTGGGGGATGTGGACAGCAGGACAGGCTGCCAACTTCCCCCATTTCCCCAGACCACCGAGGCCGGACCTTGGAAATACCTGGCAACTCTGATCCCAATATGATCCCTGATGGGGACTTTAACAGCTACGTCAGGGTTACAGGTGGGAGTGCCCTTTAGTCCCTTCCCAGTGGCCACCTTCGGATTCATGTGGGACCTGTGGATCCCTGCTTGGTCCCACTCCCCGTGAGCCTCTGACACAGAGTCCTCAGACCTCCACCCTCTCCCTCCCATGTAGCCTCAGATCCATTGGACACTTTAGGCTCTGAGGGGGCCTTGTCACCAGGAGGCGTGGCCTCCCTCTTGAGGCTTCCTCGAGGCTGTGGGGAGCAAACCATGATCTACTTGGCTCCGACACTGGCTGCTTCCCGCTACCTGGACAAGACAGAGCAGTGGAGCACACTGCCTCCCGAGACCAAGGACCACGCCGTGGATCTGATCCAGAAAGGTTCTGGGTGCAAGGGCAAGCAGGAGGGGGGCCAGGAAAGGACAGTTACTGGAAGATGGACAGCCCAGGAGGCTACAGAGGGAAAGAAAGGGGGCCCCTGATGAGGATGGGGAGCATGGCCTTGGGCTCAAACAGCAGAAGGGTGAGTGTCACCTGAGCGGCCACCTCTCCTCTCCAAGGCTACATGCGGATCCAGCAGTTTCGGAAGGCGGATGGTTCCTATGCGGCTTGGTTGTCACGGGGCAGCAGCACCTGGTGAGCTTGGGAGAGTGGTTCCAGGGTTCTGAGGGGGTCAGGGCTGGGGCAGGGGTGGGACAGAGCTGGTATGATGGGAGGGTGGATAACCAGGCACCTGGGGGCGTGGGCATAATGAGAAGCAAGTCCTTATCCCCAACCCTCCTTTCCTGCCCTCCAGGCTCACAGCCTTTGTGTTGAAGGTCCTGAGTTTGGCCCAGGAGCAGGTAGGAGGCTCGCCTGAGAAACTGCAGGAGACATCTAACTGGCTTCTGTCCCAGCAGCAGGCTGACGGCTCGTTCCAGGACCTCTCTCCAGTGATACATAGGAGCATGCAGGTGCGGGCATGCTGGGGCTGGCCCGAGAAGCGCCTGTCGGAGGACTCTCTTTGCCCCTTCCCCCTCCTGTTTGACATCTTTTCTCCCCTTACTAGGGGGGTTTGGTGGGCAATGATGAGACTGTGGCACTCACAGCCTTTGTGACCATCGCCCTTCATCATGGGCTGGCCGTCTTCCAGGATGAGGGTGCAGAGCCATTGAAGCAGAGAGTGGTAAGTTCAGTGGCGTTTCTGCCCTCTGCTGGCCCCCAGCTCTCTCCCTTTTTCCTCAGGAACCCAGGGGTCCAGGCCCAAGACCCTCCTCCCGTTTTCTTCCAGGAAGCCTCCATCTCAAAGGCAAGCTCATTTTTGGGGGAGAAAGCAAGTGCTGGGCTCCTGGGTGCCCACGCAGCTGCCATCACGGCCTATGCCCTGACACTGACCAAGGCCCCTGCGGACCTGCGGGGTGTTGCCCACAACAACCTCATGGCAATGGCCCAGGAGACTGGAGGTGAGGGGTGAGGCGCTCCTGGCAGTGAGCCTGAGGCCCAGGGGACCTTAGGATCCCTGAGTGTGCCCAGAGGGAGAGGCTGGATGAAGACTCAGAGGAGGAATGAAGTTATAAGCAGGGGTGGGTTGGGGGAGACTCAGGAGAGCCCAGCAGGGGGTGGCTAAGGGCCAGGGGACCAGGCTCTTCTCCCTGCCTTCCTGTTTACTCGTGGTCTCCCTTCACTTTCAGATAACCTGTACTGGGGCTCAGTCACTGGTTCTCAGAGCAATGCCGTGTCGCCCACCCCAGCTCCTCGCAACCCATCCGACCCCATGCCCCAGGCCCCAGCCCTGTGGATTGAAACCACAGCCTACGCCCTGCTGCACCTCCTGCTTCACGAGGGCAAAGCAGAGATGGCAGACCAGGCTGCGGCCTGGCTCACCCGTCAGGGCAGCTTCCAAGGGGGATTCCGCAGTACCCAAGTAGGGGCCGTCCCCGGGCTCTGGCGGGGGTGGGTAGTCCTCAGACCAAGGGCTTGCTTGAGTCCTGGCTCAACCTCCCTAGGACACGGTGATTGCCCTGGATGCCCTGTCTGCCTACTGGATTGCCTCCCACACCACTGAGGAGAGGGGTCTCAATGTGACTCTCAGCTCCACAGGCCGGAATGGGTTCAAGTCCCACGCGCTGCAGCTGAACAACCGCCAGATTCGCGGCCTGGAGGAGGAGCTGCAGGTGAACCACTCCCTGGTGAACCACTCCCTCGCCTGGGTAGCCAGGACACCTGGGCCTCGTGGCCAGGCCAGAAGCCGTCCCCACCCTCCCACCCGTGGAATCCCCGCAGCACTTCTTCCTGGGGTCTTCGGGGGAAGACTGACTTCCTGGCTGCGTGACCTGGAGCTCTGAGCTTCAGTTTTCTCACTTGTAGAGTAACATACACAGAGTTCACCCTACAGGGTCGTTAGAAGGCTGAAGTGAGATAATTCATGTGCTGGTATAAACTTTGTGGAAATGTGAGGTGGGGAGAGGAGGTGGGGCTGTTTTGAGGAAGGAGATAAGTTATTGGAGCCGCAAAAACAGGTTTGCTTGTGCCCTTCTAACATCGCCTTCCCTTTTCTGTTGCTGAAGTTTTCCTTGGGCAGCAAGATCAATGTGAAGGTGGGAGGAAACAGCAAAGGAACCCTGAAGGTGAGGGCCAGGGAAGGGGTGGGGCCAGGCACTGGTGGAGGAGAGGGTGTGGAGTGAGAGGCCTGTGGGCAGAGGCACATGGTCCGGGGAAGGAGGCAGACACCTCAGGGTTGGTGTCCCGTGCTTCCGTCCTGGGTGTTTTTCCCCCTGCTTGCTTTCGCTTGCTCTCCCCATCTCTGGGTACCTGTTGTTTCCTTTACCCGCCTCAGTGCTGGTGGCTCCGAATCCCACTCCTCAGCCCAGGCCTCTTCCCTGAACCATGGGCCCCACTCGTCCCACTCCCACAGCACCTCAGACGAGGCATGTCCCAAAGCCCTTCTTCATTCTGTGTCTCTTGTCTGGCTGGTGGGAGCCCCTCCCAGCCAGGAGCCCAGCCACTACTCTAGAGGCCGTGTTAGTGGCCCCTCTCCCAAGCCTGTCCTTATGTCCCTAGTGACTCCTCCTCTGCTCCCCTGCTGCCTGTGGCCCTTGGTGCTGCATCCTAGATTCTGTGCTGAGACGGCCTTCTCCCTACCTGGAACTTCTCTCTACCTCCTGTCTCCCCTGTCTGATCCACTGTCCACACGGCAGTGACACTGACCTTCCAAAAGCCCCAGCCAGATCAGCCTTGGGGAAAAGTCACTCCCCGCTGCCCACGGCTCAGATGGCTGGGCCTCTGCCCACCCCTCCGGCCAGACAGCTCTCCTTGTCTACACAGATCCCCTTGCCTTTCCTGTCCTTCCCTGCTTCTTGGCCCACAGGACAAGCTCTTTCTTCTCCTTCAAGCCTTGGCCAGAAGCCTTTCCTGAGCTTTTCAGTCCAGCCTCTTCCCAGCACAGTCTGGAGTGTTGGCCTCTGGGGGCAGGCCCCTGCTTCTTTACCTCTCTGTCTCGCCTGACGCCTGTGGCGAATGTGGTGCCACTCGTGTGTGTGGACTGTGCAGTGACGGGGAGGAAAAGGGGCTGAAGGCCTCAAATCCTGTAGCCCAGGGAGATGCCCTTAGGTATGGCACCAGAGAGGTCTGTGGCCTCACATGTCCCACGTCCTCTCCCTGCCCCTTGCTGAGCCAGGTCCTTCGTACCTACAATGTCCTGGACATGAAGAACACGACCTGCCAGGACCTACAGATAGAAGTGACAGTCAAAGGCCACGTCGAGTACACGAGTGAGTGTGGGGGTTGGGAGGCCTTGGGGCCAGGCAGGGGCTGGCGCAGGGAGCCGGGTGGCCATCCCAGCCCTCCTCACAATGCTTCCCTGTGCAGTGGAAGCAAACGAGGACTATGAGGACTATGAGTACGATGAGCTTCCAGCCAAGGATGACCCAGATGCCCCTCTGCAGCCCGTGACACCCCTGCAGCTGTTTGAGGGTCGGAGGAACCGCCGCAGGAGGGAGGCGCCCAAGGTGGTGGAGGAGCAGGAGTCCAGGGTGCACTACACCGTGTGCATCTGGTGGGCGCCGGGAGCTGCCCTGGGCCAGGGGAGGGAGGGCAGGACCCAGGCTGGGGCTGGGCTTCTGGAGCCCGCGCAGGCAGAACCTGGACGACAGCTCACACGTCTCCACAGGCGGAACGGCAAGGTGGGGCTGTCTGGCATGGCCATCGCGGACGTCACCCTCCTGAGTGGATTCCACGCCCTGCGTGCTGACCTGGAGAAGGTGTGGTCAGCCACCCAGGGCAACCCCCTCTGTCCCAGGTACTGAGCCCTGTCATGTGCAGGGCCTGTGACCAACTCCCCTTTTCCACAGCTGACCTCCCTCTCTGACCGTTACGTGAGTCACTTTGAGACCGAGGGGCCCCACGTCCTGCTGTATTTTGACTCGGTGAGTGGGGAGAGATGAGGCAGGAAGGGACTCGATGGCACCGGGTTTACTGAGTATGCGTTAGGAGGTTTCTCAGGAGACAGCTGTGTCAGCGGCTGGTGCTCTTGAGAACTTGTGATGTCATCAGAGAGAAGGACAAGAATGTGAGCCCGTGAGACACAGCAGAGTAAGGGGCAGACCTGCAGGCGGCAGGGACCGATGCCAGTCAGCAGGGACCCTCAGGGTTTGAGAGGGAGTCTTTCCTAATGCTGGTTTTATTCAGCTTGAGGGGCTGCCTTTGTTTTTTTGTTGAACTTCCTATCTTTTTTTTAATATTAAAGCGTATTTTCCTTTACAAAGTGATGGTGGCCATAGATGATAGTTGTATTTGTCTTTTCACGACCTTATTTGGCTAAAATAGTTATCAACCCTCTTACGGCTCTCAAAACATTTTTATTTATTTATTTAGTAAAGACAGGGTCTCGCTCTGTTGCCCAGGCTGGTCTTGAACTCCCGGCCTCAAGCGATCCTCTGGCCTAGGCCTTTCAAAGTACCGGATTTACAGGCCAGAGCCACCATGCCCGGCCTTCAAAAAAAGTTTTGGAACATTTACTGTAACCTCTGGGAGAAAATGTGAGAAAGGTGTGGTGGCTGTCATTAGCCAGCTGTTTGTAGGTCAGGGAGACCCCTACCCAGTGTGTGCAGAGGGGCCAGCCCCCATCAGCTGGGGAAGCCTGGCTGACACATCTGGGTTGAACACAATAGAAAACACAGAGCCAACAAGATTCCCGGATAGGGAGCTGACGGTGCAGCAGCCTAGCTCAGGAGGGACACTGGCACGGCACCGTGTGGACTGGGCCCGCGTGGGCACGAGGAGGGGTCAGGCCTGGGACCTGAGTCGGGGGGTCAGGCAGGATGACAGAACCTGCAGTTAGGTTGTGGCAAATAAAGGAGGACCCAGTTGTATCCATGACAAAGATGAGGCCGCGAGGAGGGCGAGTGGGTTTGGGGGCAGGCAGAGTGCCTTGGAGAACTTACAGGTCCTGCCACAATCCTAATGCAAGGATGGAGCTGCAAGTTCAGTTTGGGAATCATCAGCCTGGATTGGTTTGGTGGAAGCCAGGGAGTGGTTGAGACCCCCACAGGGGAGCTCTGAGGAAGGAAGTTCCGAAGGAGGGAACGTAAGAAATGACCAGGTCAGAACCAAGGGTGGTCCAGAAGCTAACCCTTAGCTTAGGGACAGTTTCACAGAGAACACGTCCATGATGCAAGACTCTGCTGAGGGCCTGGAGCAGTGAAGACTGGGGCAAGGTCACCCTCTGGGAAGTGAAGTCACCAGAGACCTTGCGGAGCAGCTTTGAGAGTTCTCTGAGTAGGAAGGTAACAGAATGTGAAGGACACTGGAGAGAAGGCCAATAGGAAGCAAACAAAAACAGGCCAAGGAAACCCAGTACAGGGGGCTGCAGGGCCCAGGGAGTGGGTCCCTCATCTCTCCTCCCCACGCTTGGCCAGGTCCCCACCTCCCGGGAGTGCGTGGGCTTTGAGGCTGTGCAGGAAGTGCCGGTGGGGCTGGTGCAGCCGGCCAGCGCAACCCTGTACGACTACTACAACCCCGGTGAGCACTGCAGGACACCCTGAAATTCAGGAGAACTTTGGCATAGGTGCCCTCCTATGGGACAATGGACACCGGGGTAGTGAGGGGGCAGAGAGCCCTGGGGCTCCCTGGGACTGAGGAGGCAGAATGGAGGGGCCTGTGCCCTAACTCCTCTCTGTTCTCCAGAGCGCAGATGTTCTGTGTTTTACGGGGCACCAAGTAAGAGCAGACTCTTGGCCACCTTGTGTTCTGCTGAAGTCTGCCAGTGTGCTGAGGGTGAGACTGAGGGCCTGGGGCGGGGCAGTGGAGGCGGGATGGCCGGGGCCCCCCCCACACTGTCTGATGGGTTCCCCAACTTCAGGGAAGTGCCCTCGCCAGCGTCGCGCCCTGGAGCGGGGTCTGCAGGACGAGGATGGCTACAGGATGAAGTTTGCCTGCTACTACCCCCGTGTGGAGTACGGTCAGTCTTCCCACCGAGGCCCTGGCCTGACCCTCCCTCGGGGACCGGCCGTTTTGGTCTCTCTGGGTGTAGCCTGCTCCTCTTACAGGTCATGCACGCAGCCTGTTTGCTCTGACACCAACTTCCTACCCTCTCAGCCTCAAAGTAACTCACCTTTCCCCCTTCTCCTCACCCCCTCTTAGGCTTCCAGGTTAAGGTTCTCCGAGAAGACAGCAGAGCTGCTTTCCGCCTCTTTGAGACCAAGATCACCCAAGTCCTGCACTTCAGTATGAAGCAAACCGGAGAGGCGGGCAGGGCTGGGGGGAGACAGGGAGGCTGAGGTGTGGCCGAGGACCTGACCATCTGGAAGTGTGAAAATCCCCTTGGGCTGTCAGAAGCCTTGGGCTTGGCCATAAATAGGGAGGCAGTGGCACCTCTCCATGGGGGTGGCGAAGGTGGAATGAGAGGATCTACACAGAGTCCCCAGCCTGGGCTCACCCTGCACCTTCTCTTCCCCTCTGACCACTTTTGCGCACGTCATCCCCGCAGCCAAGGATGTCAAGGCCGCTGCTAATCAGATGCGCAACTTCCTGGTTCGAGCCTCCTGCCGCCTTCGCTTGGAACCTGGGAAAGAATATTTGATCATGGGTCTAGATGGGGCCACCTATGACCTCGAGGGACAGTGAGTCATCTGGTCCCCTCAGTCTCTTGTCCTCCCCATGCCTCGCCACCTAGGCCTTGCCCCTCAGAAGCCAGATGCCTGTGCTCTCCGTTTCCACCTGCCATCCTCCCGAGCCCTGCTGACTGCCCCTTTGCCCCCTGCAGCCCCCAGTACCTGCTGGACTCGAATAGCTGGATCGAGGAGATGCCCTCTGAACGCCTGTGCCGGAGCACCCGCCAGCGGGCAGCCTGTGCCCAGCTCAACGACTTCCTCCAGGAGTATGGCACTCAGGGGTGCCAGGTGTGAGGGCTGCCCTCCCACCTCCGCTGGGAGGAACCTGAACCTGGGAACCATGAAGCTGGAAGCACTGCTGTGTCCGCTTTCATGAACACAGCCTGGGACCAGGGCATATTAAAGGCTTTTGGCAGCAAAGTGTCAGTGTTGGCAGCGAAGTGTCAGTGTGTGTTGCTAGGGCTGAGAGCAGTGCCCCTGCCCGATGCAGTTCTGGGCAGGCCAGGTTGACATAACCTTAGACTCTCTGAGCCCTGATGACCCTTGGGCTGTTCAGCTCTGCTAGAACCTCCCAGATGACCCGCTAGGAGTCTAGTGCTTCACAGGACCACCCCGAGCAGAACTGGGACCCAAGAGCCTGCACCCCAAGGACCAGAGTCCATGCCAAGACCACCCTTCAGCTTCCAAGGCCCTCCACTGCCCGGCTGTCGCCAGTCACCACGGCCTCAGACAGGGCTTGTGCTCAGCTGACACCTGTGACACAGCTCTTCTGCCTCATGAGCTGTTGTCCAGCTACACCTCCCCGACTCTGTCCTCGTGCTGCTGGCGGTTCTGAGGTCTGCAGATTTTAGCTGAGTTCCGGGCTGTTGAAAGCCTGCTGACGCTTGGTTCTGTTATCAGTGGAATGAGGTGACTTTCCCGGAGTTGTGCAATCCTCAGGTCCGGCAGTGTCTTCTTCCAGTTACTGGTTTCAAACAAGCCAAAAGTCTGACTTTGGTGTGTTTGTGAATCCTCTGAGGAAGCCGCTGTTCTCCTGGGGTCTCCCCTTCCCACCGGACCTGCCTAACTTTCCCCCATTTAGTGGCACACCTGGGGTCTTCAGAGATGACTCCGCGTCTGTCCAAAGAAGTTTGGTGAGATCAGTTTCCGTAGAGGTCATGACAGTTCAGCAGCCTGCCATCCAGTCATTCGACAGAAATTCGGGAATCTTTCACTTCATGCCATGCCCTGTGCCAGGTGCCAGAGATACAGCTGCTCACTCCAGGGCTCATCGCTGGGGAGACAGATAAGAGGACGGGCAGTCCCCACCCTCTGTGAAAGATGTGATGTCAGGGAGCAGTGTGGTCCTGTGGGGCATCTAACCAAGTCAGGGGCATTGCCAGGCAGGGACAGGGAAGGCTTCCTGGAGCAGGTGGCCTCCAAGTGGGGCTCTGAAGACTGAGAAGGAGCCAGGCAAAGAGCAGGGGTAGATGAGGGCATCTGGGGCAGAAGGAGAATATACAAAGGCCCAGAGGCCGGGGGCAGGACAGGGTACCTTTGGGGACATTGCATGTAATTGACCACATTCGGAGTTTGGATTTGGAAGTGGTGGAAGAGATGGAGATGGTGAGACAAGTAGTAAGCACGTCAGCCTTCCAGGTGCGCTCCTTTCCGATGAGCACTGTCTTATCCCACGTAACTTTGAGAAGTTTGGGCCTTTCCCACTGTGGCAGAGGTTTCCTGAGGCTCTTGCATACATGGCCCTATGGTTGCTCATCAGATCTTTCTCCCAGTAGCTGCTCAGCATGGTGGTGGCATAAGCCCATTTTCCGGAGCCAGGGATTCAGTTGCAGCAAGACATGGCCCGGTCTGGGAGGTCAACCATGAAGAAGGCAGTAGCTGTCATTGCCCAACCCCAGAAATCCCAATCCTGTTTTCTCCCTCTCAGTCCTGATCATGGATTCAGCAGCAGCGAACTCGCCAATGTAGTGGGTGGCACAGCCAGGGTCTTGACTCTGGCTCTGCAGTAGCACAGTCTGGAAAAGCTCTGAGGGGAGAGAGACCCCCACTGGTCCGAGGGTCTGGCACAGAGCCAGAAATGGGGGGGAAGGTATGGGGCTGGGTCGCCTCTGACCTCTCAGGTACCATCCAGGAGGCCCTGGCCTCTCACTGAACCCGGCCACTCCTCTTTGGCATGGCCTCTTCCCAAATCCCCAAACTGCCTCCTTACTCACAAAAGTGGTCTCTGAGTGTCAGTCCAGTGGGACCCCCACCCCTTATGGCTTCAGTTCCCCAAATAGGGCTGGACCCTTGATCCTGATCCAGCTGTGGCTATCCAGCCCCTTCCTGGGGACTTTGGACTTTGAGGGGGGGCATGCCCAGTTGTGCTGGGAATCCATACTTTCCCTGGCTGGAGTAGAACCTGTGGACTGTAGTCCTGAGGGCAGTCATGTTCTGCCTGTGCCTGGAAACACAAGAAACTTGACTGCAGAGAGAAGAAAGAGGAGAGAGGAACAGAGCGAGGAAACTGCCCGTCTCCGGGGCTTTTTCTGTTCCCTATCCTTGGCTTTCTAAGACCAGTGGGGTCCCCTCCTCTGCTTCTTTTTCCTGAGTTCTGTGAAATTCCCCAATCCTTACTTTTTGTCTCAAACCAGCTCAAGGTGGGCTGTTTTCCTTTCAACCAAAGAAAGGTGCTCCTGGTGGCTAAAGGTACATATTCGACAGCTAGATTTCCAGGCTGGAATCCTGCCCTCCACAACATGCGAACAATACCCGTGTTGCATATAGAGCATGGCTGTGAAGAGTTGAGTGAGTGCCCACAAAGCACTTAGAGCAGTGTCTGGTACATGCTATTACTCCGCAGCGGGAAACCACTTCCTCCTTTGTCTTCTGGGCACTTTTGTGAGTGAAAGGAGGCACTAATAACAATCACACTGGGATACCTGTATATACTGGAATGCCCCAGGCAAACCAGGCTTAAACTGTATTACTCTATCTGTAGCTTAAACTAACAGACAAACCCACACAAATCACATTTTGTTCTTCAGGCGATTCAGGAAGGCCTATTAGGCAGGGACTGCCATTTTCTCTCTGAGACAAACATCATGCCAGTAAACTGGCCCACGGTGGGGTGGCAGAGGGAGAGGGCCCAGGTCGGGGCGGACACCCTTGCCTGCACGGGTGATGTGGAACCAGAAAGCTGACTCTGGATGCAGGAAAAAGGTCAGGGTTGCATTTCCCTTCCTTGCTTCTCGATGGGTGATTAATTTTTTTTGAAATACGGACGTCCCAAGGCCAATGAGACTGGTGTCATTCCAGAAAAGGGCCACTCTGTGGGTGGGTCGGTGGGAAGGCACCTGAGGGTGGGGTCAAGGGAGGCCCCAAAACAGTCTACACAGCAGGAGGGATGGCTGGGGCTCTTGAGCTATAAGTGGCACCTCAGGGCCCTGACGGGCGTCTTGCCATGCTGCTCCTGGGCCTGCTGCTGCTGCTGCCCCTGCTGGCTGGCGCCCGCCTGCTGTGGAACTGGTGGAAGCTCCGGAGCCTCCACCTCCTGCCTCTTGCCCCGGGCTTCTTGCACCTGCTGCAGCCCGACCTCCCCATCTATCTGCTTGGCCTGACTCAGAAATTCGGGCCCATCTACAGGCTCCACCTTGGGCTGCAAGGTGAGAGGCTGATCTCGCTCTGGCCCTCACCATAGGAGGGGGCGGAGGTGACGGAGAGGGTCCTCTCTCCGCTGACGCTGCTTTGGCTGTCTCCCAGATGTGGTGGTGCTGAACTCCAAGAGGACCATTGAGGAAGCCATGGTCAAAAAGTGGGCAGACTTTGCTGGCAGACCTGAGCCACTTACCTGTAAGGGCTGGGGGCATTTTTTCTTTCTTAAACAAATTTTTTTTTTGTTAGAGATGGGGTCTTGCTATGTTGCCCAGGCTGGTCTTGAATTCCTGGTCTCAAGTGATCCTCCCACCTCGGCCTCAAGTGGGAGCCACCTTCGGGGGCTTCCCCAATCCTCCAGGTCACTGGAAGCTCTTGGGGGGCATATCTTCAGGAGAAGAAGCAGGTGTTGAGGAGGCAGAAGAAGGTCAGGCCCTCGGCTTCCTTGGTCAGTTCCCACCCTCCAGCCCCCAGCTCCTCCTGCAGACAAGCTGGTGTCTAAGAACTACCCGGACCTGTCGTTGGTCTCTGCTCTGGAAAGCCCACAAGAAGCTCACCCGCTCAGCCCTGCTGCTGGGCATCCGTGACTCCATGGAGCCAGTGGTGGAGCAGCTGACCCAGGAGTTCTGTGAGGTAAGGCTGGGCTCCTGAGGCCACCTCGGGTCAGCCTCGCCTCTCACAGTAGCCCCCGCCCTGCCCGCTGCACAGCGGCCTGCTGAACTCACACTGTTTCTCCACAGCGCATGAGAGCCCAGCCCGGCACCCCTGTGGCCATTGAGGAGGAATTCTCTCTCCTCACCTGCAGCATCAACTGTTACCTCACCTTCGGAGACAAGATCAAGGTGCCTCACAGCCCCTCAGGCCCACCCCCAGCCCCTCCCTGAGCCTCTCCTTGTCCTGAACTGAAAGTACTCCATCCTTTCCTGGCAGGAGGACAACTTAATGCCTGCCTATTACAAATGTATCCAGGAGGTGTTAAAAACCTGGAGCCACTGGTCCATCCAAATTGTGGACGTGATTCCCTTTCTCAGGGTGAGGACCTGGAGCCTAGACACCCCTGGGTTGTGGGGGAGAGGCTGGGGTGGAGGGAGAGGCTCCTTCCCACAGCTGCATTCTCATGCTTCCTGCCGCAGTTCTTCCCCAATCCAGGTCTCCGGAGGCTGAAGCAGGCCATAGAGAAGAGGGACCACAACGAGGAGAAGCAGCTGAGGCAGCACAAGGTGGGGACTGTGTGTGGACGGCCTCCCCTCGGCCCACAGCCAGTGATGCTACCGGCCTCAGCATTGCTATGAGGCGGGTTCTTTTGCATACCCCAGTTATGGGCCTGTTGCCACTCTGTACTCCTCTCCCCAGGCCAGCCGCTCAGCCCGCTCCTTTCACCCTCTGCAGGAGAGCCTGGTGGCAGGCCAGTGGAGGGACATGATGGACTACATGCTCCAAGGGGTGGCGCAGCCGAGCATGGAAGAGGGCTCTGGACAGCTCCTGGAAGGGCACTTGCACATGGCTGCAGTGGACCTCCTGATCGGTGGCACTGAGACCACAGCAAACACCCTCTCCTGGGCCGTGGTTTTTTTTGCTTCACCACCCTGAGGTGCGTCCTGCGGACAAGCAAAAGGCTCCTTCCCAGCAACCTGGCCAGGGCGGTGGGCACCCTCACTCAGCTCTGAGCACTGTGCGGCTGGGGCTGTGCTTGCCTCACCGGCACTCAGGCTCACTGGGTTGCTGAGGGAGCGGCTGGAGGCTGGGCAGCTGTGGGCTGCTGGGGCAGGACTCCACCCGATCATTCCCCAGATTCAGCAGCGACTGTAGGAGGAGCTAGACCACGAACTGGGCCCTGGTGCCTCCAGCTCCCGGGTCCCCTACAAGGACCGTGCACGGCTGCCCTTGCTCAATGCCACCATCGCCGAGGTGCTGCGCCTGTGGCCCGTTGTGCCCTTAGCCTTGCCCCACCGCACCACACGGCCCAGCAGGTGACTCCCGAGGGTTGGGGATGAGTGAGGAAAGCCCGAGCCCAGGGAGGTCCTGGCCAGCCTCTAACTCCAGCCCCCTTCAGCATCTCCGGCTACGACATCCCTGAGGGCACAGTCATCATTCCGAACCTCCAAGGCGCCCACCTGGATGAGACGGTCTGGGAGAGGCCACATGAGTTCTGGCCTGGTATGTGGGGGGCCGGGGGCCTGCCGTGAAAATGTGGTGGAGGCTGGTCCCCGCTGCCGCTGAACGCCTCCCCACCCACCTGTCCACCCGCCCGCAGATCGCTTCCTGGAGCCAGGCAAGAACTCCAGAGCTCTGGCCTTCGGCTGCGGTGCCCGCGTGTGCCTGGGCGAGCCGCTGGCGCGCCTGGAGCTCTTCGTGGTGCTGACCCGACTGCTGCAGGCCTTCACGCTGCTGCCCTCCGGGGACGCCCTGCCCTCCCTGCAGCCCCTGCCCCACTGCAGTGTCATCCTCAAGATGCAGCCTTTCCAAGTGCGGCTGCAGCCCCGGGGGATGGGGGCCCACAGCCCGGGCCAGAGCCAGTGATGGGGCAGGACCGATGCCAGCCGGGTACCTCAGTTTCTCCTTTATTGCTCCTGTACGAACCCCTCCCCTCCCCCCTGTAAACACAGTGCTGCGAGATCGCTGGCAGAGAAGGCTTCCTCCAGCGGCTGGGTGGTGAAGGACCCTGGCTCTTCTCTCGGGGCGACCCCTCAGTGCTCGGCAGTCATACTGGGGTGCGAGAGAGGTGGGCAGCAGCTCAGCCTCCCCCCGCTGGGGAGCGAAAGTTTCTTGGTCTCAGCTTCATTTCCGTGAAGGGCACCGAGAACTCGAAGCCCTTCCAGTGGTACCAGCTCACTCCCTGGGAAAGGGGTTGTCAAGAGAGAGTCAAAGCCGGATGTCCCATCTGCTCCTCCCGTTCCCCTTAAGGAGGTGGCTCCCAGCACTCAACCAACCTCCCCGCAGAGCTCCCTTCCTGACCCTCTGCCGCAGAGGATTGAGGCTTAATCCTGAGCTGGTCCTTTCCAGCCAATAAATCAACTCCAGCTCCCTCTGCGAGGCTGGCATGATTGTTCCATTTCACCCAGCCGCTCAGTCCCTTGCCTGTTACACTGTGGGGCTGAAACCTAGGCAGGCCGAGCCCCAGCCACCCCAGCTCTGAGCCGCCTCCCCACCCCTCACCTGATGGTCCACTGTGCTCCCGTAGAGCCCGTTGAGGTTGGCGTAGTGGCAGTTCCTGTACCACCAGGCCCCTCGGTAGGAGACAGCGCAGGAGATGAGCAAGTTGTTGGGGTTCCGATCACGGGCAGAGAAGACACTGCCGCTGTGGTAGCTCATGGAGTCCCCTGGGCAGGGTGGAGGAAGGAGCCATGAGGGCCTCCCCTCCCAGCCTCACCCTCCCAGCCTCACAGCCTCTGCTTACCTGCGGTGCCGTGGTAGCCCTCCAAGTGGAGGCGGTAGTACTCCGCAGCCGAGTCTACGTGGAAGGAGTCGTACTGGGCGAACACAGCCTCGTCCCCAGCCCGCAGGTCCACGCGCATGGAGTAGTCACCTGCCTGTGTCAGGCTGTGCAGGGCCTCATTGCCTGGGGGTGGGATACGTGCCCTCATCAGGGTCCTGGTGTCCACAGGGCCCCCATCCCCATCCGTAGTTCCCCAGTCCCTGTGAGGCACTGACCCAGCCAGAACTCTCCAGAGATGTTCCCAAAACCATGGGCATAGTCCTCCCAGTCCCTCCAGAAGTCTGTCTGTCCATCCATGTGGCGCTGGAACACCTGGGAAGCAAGTGGGGGCACCATCAGCCTCTGGCTCCCGGGGCAACAGCCCCTTGCCCTGCACAGACCCCTGGGCTTCCCAATGCCACCCACCAGCCAGCCGCCCCCATCAGTCTCCATGTCCCAAAACACGTTCAGGGGCCGCTCCCGGTTGCCGTTGAGGAAGATGGTGCTGGTCCTGGAGGCACCGGCTCCGTTCTGCATCTCCTCCCCGCAGTCCCTGGGGAAGGGGATCCGCAGCCCACCTGGGAGAGGAGAGCAGGGGCCAGTCCTTTTCCAAGCCTTAGGCCCTGGCTGCCCACCCAGCCCCCGGCCCCGGGCCCGTGCGTCCAGGTACCCGTGGTGAAAGAGGTGGACACGGGCGGCAGGAGGCTCTGGCCCCACATGGCCTGGAGCCGTGCATTGTAGGAGGTGGAGGGAAAGAGGCCAAGGAGCTGGTGAGATGTGATCCCTCCTGGGAGCAGGATCTCCTGTGGGACAGACAAGGGGGGGTCAGGGGAGAGGGAGGTGGAGACCCTCCGGGAGGGCCAGAGGCAGCACCTCCTGGAATCACCCAGGGAGGGGAGTTGGGTCAGTGGGGCCGGGGCACCTGGGTCTGTCCACCAGGGGTGTGGAAGCTGAGCAGGTAGCCTGCGGGCCGGACTGGGGGCTCAGTCCAAGTGAGCAGGGCGGTGCGGGGGGTCACTTCCTTGGCCTCCAAGTCCCGAGGGGCCTCTAGCCCTAGGAGGGAAAGCAGGAAGAGGAGATGGGGATGAGGCCCAACCTGGCTCCCTCTACCTCCTCTCCCTGTCCCACACACCCCACAGACCCTACCTGTGGTGAAGGTGATGCTGGCTGGGGAAGTGAGGTTGGGGCCCCGCAGGCCACGCACTGTGGCGGTGTAGTTGGTGTGGAGGACAAGGTCATGCAGGGGGTAGTCCACCGCGCTGCCTGGGGTCTCCGCCTGCAGAGGCGGGGCTGGGAGTGTAGAGAGGGGCATCAAGGCCTGCCCCCTCCATCCTCGGCCAGAGTCCAGCCTCCCCCCTGCAATCCCCACCCTGAACAAGTCCCCTCCAGAGGCCTCAGGCCTGCTCACCCCCAGGGGCTGTGACCTGGACGTCATAGGTGTCCACAGGATTCTGGGGGGGCTTCCAGTGCAGCACGGCGAATCCCTCGGTCAAGTTCAGTGCACGCAACTGTGTGGGACCGTCAGGAACTGGGGGAAGGGGAGGGGCTCAGAAGGGTCCCCGCGGCTCTCTCTACTCCGTGCCTCCCCAGACTCCACTGGCCTCCCGTCCGCAATCGGAGCCTCCACCACCTCCCTTTCACCCTCCTCGTTCTCTCTCAACTCCCACCCATGCCATTTTCTTGACTCCCACCTGGAGTTTCTGGGTCCGGGCCCGGCCGTCCACCTGCACACTCTGAGGCTCCCCTGAAAACGTTGGGGATCGAGGGTTACCCAGGGAACCCCAGGGCGGCTGGAGGGTGGGCAGAGTGCAGGGGGGAGAGGAAATGCGAGGCGATGAGCACATGGCAAAGGCACCACCTCCGTCCGCCAGCTGGTAGGAGACTTTGAAGCTGTCCGCCCGGGATGGTGGGGGCATCCAGTTGACCTTGGCTGAGGTCTCCCTGATTTCACTGAATTGGAGGTCACGGGGGCTCTCCAGAACTGCAGAGGGGTCAAGGAACAATGACGCAGGCAGGGGCAGGGAGGCTCCTCCCTGCGAGTCCCCCCCTCGCCTCTGCTCCAGCACAGGCTCACCACCCCTTTTCCTCTAGTCCCCAGGAATGGAAGTCGCTCTGCAGATTCCTCCAGGCCCACCACCAACTCGCCCACCCCCACCGCTGGCTGAGGCACTAGGTCCCCCCCGTGAAGTACAAAGACCCCCACTTTGGGGCAGAGTGTGTGTGGGTCCTTACCTGGGCTGAGGGTGCGGGCGGTTCCCTGGATGCTGTCGGCCTTGTGGGGTCCTCGCAGCCCATACAGTGTCAGGCTGTACAGAGTCCCGGAACGCAGGTCCCGGAGCACGGCCGAGTGCCGCGTCCCCGGCACCATCAGCTCGCGCTGCAGCAGTGGACGCGGATGCGGCTCCAGAGTGCTTGGTGATGGAACCCCAAAGCGGAGCAGGAAGGAGTCGAAGGCCCCCGGTGGGGCCTCCCAGTTGAGCCTCAGTGAACTGGTGGTCACGTCAGTCACAGACAGCTGGGACAGGCGGGGCCTTGACTCCTCTGAGGTCTGACCAGCAGGAGCCAGCCCTGCACGGAGTGGGTGGGGGAGAAGGGATTGGAGACAGAAGCACACCAGCTTGGTGACCCAGAGCACGTCCCTTCCACCCCCCTCCCTGCCCCCGTTTCTCTATCTGTAACCAGGGACTTGCAGCCACAGGGGGGTCCTGTGGGGCAGAGCTAAAGGCCACTCGCATCCAGCCCATCCATCCTCTCTCCCTGGTACCCGCCTCACGCTCTTTCCCTGCGACCACCCCTTCTGAGCCCCCGTTTCTCCCTTCTGAGTCCTAGGCTAGAGGCCGGAGACGCCTGGTGGTACCTGTGGTGCCCTCAGCTGAGAGGGGCCCCAGGCGCTTCCCTTCATGGAGGCCATAGAGGAGGAACCTGTAGGGGGTGCTGGGCTCCAGGCCTGAGATGAGGATCTTGCTCTGGTCGCCGTCCACGAGCAAGGCCTGGGGCTGCCCGTTCGTGTCCTCATACTGGACCACGAAGGAATCAAAGGGGCCCTGGGCCACGCTCCACGAGAGGCGCATGGAGTCTGGGGTTGTGTCGGTCACGGTCAGCACTCCTAGGCGGGGCTCTTCAGGAGGCTCAGGGGCCTCTGGGGCTAACTCTGGGGCTGGTGTGTCCTCTTCTGGGGCTGCGTGGGAGAAGCCCAGGGGAGAATCTGAGTGAGGGGCGCCATGGGGTGCTCCATTTTTATCTTCCAGGCTTGGCCCAAGGCTGAGGTGGGAAGTTTATAGGTCCAGGCCCAGTCAGACAATGAAGTCGCTGTGGCCTCGTGACTCCTGCGAGCTCCCGCGCTGTCTGAGTCAGGTGCTCGCTTCCCCCTTCCACACCCCGGTGTCCTGCCGAGCCCACCTCGAGATATCACAGGCTCTGGCCCCACCCATGCCGGGATACATTCACTGAGCTTGAGGAGTGTGGTGCTCCCTTCTGAGAGAAGCTGAGGGTGGAACTGGCTGGTTGAGGTGACTGGCAAATCCCACCAGCCGTGCCGTGGTCAGGCCTGTCTGAGGTGGGCATCAGCGAGCTCTGGAAGAGGAGCCTGTACCACAAATGCAGCCACTGCTGTTGGTTTCTGTGTCCCCGCTCATTTTGTTTTCCAGTGATGTTCCTCTTAAGAAAATGCTCCTGACTCATCCACGGCAGGGAGGTTTGCCACTATCTGGACAAGGCCACCCTTCGGGGAGGCGACAGCAGCCCCAGCGAGTAATGAGGAGCAGCGGCAGTGACGGGGCAGAGTCGGGGCTGGGAGATTAGAGAGCCCCTCCCAGGGCCTTTCCCTCCCGCCTGGCCTGGCTCCTGCTCTGGACTCCTTGATGGATGTTGAAGCCCACAGGGCTGCAGACTCCTCCTCCTTCCTGGGCACAGGCCAGGTCACCCCACTCCGGCCTGCCCACTCCTGCAGTCATCTTTGTCTTCAGACCAAATGCACAAGTACTTTGTTAAAGGTATCCCATCTGCAGCTCAAGCCTGCAGCCCCTCACCTTTTGGTGGCTCCTCAGGCCTCTAGGCCTTATTCACCTTTCCCCTCTCCTGTGCCACTTCTCCTCTAGGGCGCCAGGCTGTCCTTGGCATGGTCCGGAAGGCAAAGTACCGGGAGCTGCTCCTATCAGAGCTCCTGGGCCGGCGGGTGCCTGTCGTGGTGCGGCTTGGCCTCACCTACCATGTGCACGACCTCATTGGGGCCCAGCTAGTGGACTGGTGAGTCTTTCCCTGGCCTCTGGCAGATTATGGAGCAATGACCCAAAGTGGGATTTCCTCCCAGCTCATGCTTAGTTTCCTAGTGAAGGCCAGTGGCTCTCATTCTTCTCTGGAACCCGGGAGCACCCCTTCCCAAGTTCTAAGTTCTCCTCACAGCTTGAGCCTAGGCGTCTGGCTCCAGCCTTGTCTTTCTCCTGCACAGCATCTCTACCACTTCAGGAACCCTCCTCCGCCTGCCAGAGACATGAAGATTCTGCTCATCATTGCTCAGCTCCTCAGAGTGGGCCGGGAGGGGACTAGAAGAGCTGCATGATGGTGGCTGAGACAGGGTCACCTTGGGAAGGCTTGGGAGCCAGGATGAGTGTCGGGCTCTCGTGTGTGCAAAAGGTCAGATGTGACTGCTGCTGTTTGCCTGGTTTCTGACCCAGTGGTGGGGTTTGAGCAATGCTTCTCTGCCCTTCCATGGAAAGTGGAACCAGAAATGGTGCCAAGGCTGTGGCTGTTCCCTTTCGTGTAAAATGGTGCTGTTATTACTCTGTCTTGAAATAGGAAGGTGGGATTTCTGGGGAGGCTGGTGAAGGAGGGCAGGGTTCTTTTCTCTACGTGTCATGTTAAAATTGCCAAATAAAGTACCTCTGCCTGTGATATTTTCTGGATGTCCTTTATTTACTGTGACGTGTGTTTGGGTGCCTTGTTTAGGGGTAGAGGTGAAGTCTGAGCTTTGCCTCATTCAGAGAGGAAAGGGGTCAGGGGTTCACTCTGACGTTCAGGCCATTCTCCCTGTGGAGTGGTGAGGGTGTACCTAATCTCCTAAACCACGGAATTTCTGTTAGGGCCTAAAAAAGCAAAAGCCTAGTATAGTTCAATTTGTGTTGGAATGAAAGTAAGAGACAAGTGTCTTAGAAGCCTGTCATTGTTTTGTGAGGGCCTTTAAATATCCTGTACTCGTGGGCCATGTTGGGCCCTTGTACGCCCAGGTATACATGAGCTTGTGTGCACCTATACCCTGATACAGATATACCTGGTAGGGGGAGGTGCTCAGGCACTGGAATGAGAGGAGTTAACGGGGAAGGACAGGGTTATTTCTGGGCCAAGATTCAGAGTTTCCCATGGACACCCAGGTGTCCGGGGTGCCCCCACAACTCTGGGCCTGAGGCCAGTTGCACTTCTTGGCTGTCACGTGGTTTCCCAGCTTAGCTGGGCTGGGGGAGGAGCAAGGTCCAGAGTCAACTCTGCCCCGAGGCCTAGCTTGGCCAGAAGGTAGCAGACAGACAGACGGATCTAACCTCTCTTGGATCCTCCAGCCATGAGGCTGCTCTGGGGGCTGATCTGGGCATCCAGCTTCTTCACCTTATCTCTGCAGAAGCCCAGGTCCTGGAGGCGGGATGCTGGGTGCTTGGATTGGGGCAGGGCTGGCATCGGGACCCGATTCAGGAGTGAGGGAGAGCAGGGGTGGAGGTGTCAGAGCGAAGTCTGACTGCTGATCCTGTCTGTTCTCCCCAGGTTGCTCTTGTTCTCTCCTTCTGTGGTTCATCTGGGGGTCCCCCTATCGGTGGGGGTGCAGCTCCAGGATGTGCCCCGAGGACAGGTAGTCAAAGGATCAGTGTTCCTGAGAAACCCATCTCGTAATAATGTCCCCTGCTCCCCAAAGGTGGACTTCACCCTTAGCTCAGAAAGAGACTTCGCACTCCTCAGTCTCCAGGTAACCAGACCCCATGCCCTCCTGCTGCTTGTGGGGGCCTCCTGCCCTGTTCCCATCTGTCTTGTAAGTGTCATCATCTTCCCACTGGCCTCCTCCCCTCCTGTCTTCCCACCCTGGCATTCTCCTTCCACGTTTCTCCCTTGGTCTCTGTCCTTTTTGGTCAGCTGTCTCTTGCTCTGTGACCCGCTCCCTCTCCCTCTCCCTCTCCTGACAGGTGCCCTTGAAAGATGCGAAGAGCTGTGGCCTCCATCAACTCCTCAGAGGCCCTGAGGTCCAGCTGGTGGCCCATTCGCCATGGCTAAAGGACTCTCTGTCCAGAACGACAAACATCCAGGGTATCAACCTGCTCTTCTCCTCTCGCCGGGGGCACCTCTTTTTGCAGACGGACCAGCCCATTTACAACCCTGGCCAGCGGGGTGAGTCTCAGCCCCAGGGCCTCAACCTTTAACCCCCTCCGAGCCCTCTCAGGATGAGTTTGGTGCCCCCTAAGTGAGATAACCTGAAAGAAAGTGCCACACAGAAGGGGTGCTTAGGAAACATTTGTCCCCTGCTCCCTCTGTGGAGTTTGACCCACCCTCCCCTTGCACATGGACCCCTGCTCACCTCTCTCCTCCTCCACTCCCAGTTCGGTACCGGGTCTTTGCTCTGGATCAGAAGATGCGCCCGAGCACTGACACCATCACAGTCATGGTGGAGGTGAGTCCCCGACCTCTGGCCTTCCTGATCCTGGCCACTGATGTGACCTCCTGCCTGTGAGCACTTCTCCCCTTGCAGAACTCTCACGGCCTCCGCGTGCGGAAGAAGGAGGTGTACATGCCCTCGTCCATCTTCCAGGATGACTTTGTGATCCCAGACATCTCAGAGTGAGCGCTCCCAATGTGGGGGCTGCCCCCAAGCTACACCACCCCAATTCCTGTTAGGCTCTCCACCTCCCACACAGAGGCACGTCCCCAGATGCCCTGACCCTCAGCCTCCTGAGCCTCTGGTTAACCCCCACAGTCCTCTTCCCAGGGAAGCAGGCTGCTGGCTCTCCGTGCCCCACTGTACAGATGGGCTGAGCCCCTTCCTTGTCCATTCTCAGGCCAGGGACCTGGAAGATCTCAGCCCGATTCTCAGATGGCCTGGAATCCAACAGCAGCACCCAGTTTGAGGTGAAGAAATATGGTGAGAGCTGGAAACTGGAGGGACAGGCAGCTGCTTTCCTGAAGGAAATAAGGGTGGAAGGAGAGGTACTGGGAGCAGCTCAGGGCAGGGAGATATGGGTGCCACAGCCCTGAGCAGAGGGGAGTCTTTGAGCTGGAGTCTGACCTGCCTATCCCTTCACCCTGGGTCAGTCCTTCCCAACTTTGAGGTGAAGATCACCCCTGGAAAGCCCTACATCCTGACGGTGCCAGGCCATCTTGATGAAATGCAGTTAGACATCCAGGCCAGGTAATACCTCCCTCCCCACCTCTGCCCACCAGCACCGGGTCCTGCTCCCTACTCAGTATGAATGGGCTCCTGCTTCCCTGCCCTCGGGCCATTATTCCCCCCAGCCCTTGGCCCACCCTCTTCTCTCTGCCACGACAGGTACATCTATGGGAAGCCAGTGCAGGGGGTGGCATATGTGCGCTTTGGGCTCCTAGATGAGGATGGTAAGAAGACTTTCTTTCGGGGGCTGGAGAGTCAGACCAAGGTAGGAAGGAGAATAGGGGCTGGGGAGGGGAAGGGGCAAGGGAGGTGAGGTGGGAGACTCAGTCTCACCCTATGTCCTGTTTCTTTCTATGCCCCAGCTGGTGAATGGACAGAGCCACATTTCCCTCTCAAAGGCAGAGTTCCAGGACGCCCTGGAGAAGCTGAATATGGGCATTACTGACCTCCAGGGGCTGCGCCTCTACGTTGCTGCAGCCATCATTGAGTATCCAGGTGGGTGACTTTCCCTTATTGTAACCCCAGACCCTTGCCTCTGACCTCTGAGCTAACCCTCTGTCCTCCAGCACCAACACCACCCCACTTCTCACATCTCATCTCAGACTCAAAACCAGGAAACACCCAGGAGACCTGGTTTCTCTCCAACTCTGTCTCTGTGACTCGGCCCTTTTCCCTGGCTGAGTTTATTTATTTCTTTGCTCGTTCTGCTCATTCCTTCACTCCTCCAGTGGACATGTGTTGTTCAATGCCCCGTGCTAGGCCTCAGCATGCACAGACATGTTGGGGACCAGCCTCAACGCCACCCGTAGGGTTCCTGAAGTCCATTGGTGACACAGGAATGAGAAGAGACAGGTTAAGAGTTCATAAAGAGTGGGGGCCAGGGGGCCAATTGCAAAATGGAGGCTGCAAAAGGCTCAGAGCTCTGGTCTCCACACTATTTTTTGAGTACAGTCACTCAGATCTAAGAAGCAGATGTTCAGGGAGAAACAGTGAAAGGGAGGCAGTGGGTCATAGGCGTAATCTATAGCAATAGAGTTTTAAATGAATCTCCTTTGTGCTCAAACAGCATGTCTTTAAATTATCGGAGAGTAGCTGGTGGAAGTGGGCTTAGCTAGAAGACTGCATGTCTGTCCAATGCTTCAAAGGAGGGTCTTTCTCCTTGAACAGAGTGTTTACAGATAAGACAGGGGGTCTCACTCTGAGCATGGGAACATGATGGCAATTAGGAGGCTTTTCTTCTCAGAGGCCTCTTGTGGCTTTCCACAACTTATTGTCTCATATTTTTATGGACAGTTTATACAGGCACCCCACAAGTCCTTTTCCCAACATGCCCCCCTCCCTTTTTTTTTTTTTAACCGCTATTGCTATTATGGCTTATTTGTGGTGTTTGGTCTGTTTTCAGAAGTGTCTTTTGCATCTGTAGACTAAAAGTAAACAGCATAAACAGATACACATTAAAGTAAAATTTGTAATAGTTGATCCTTTAATGGTCTTAATCTGTTTAAGAGGATTTATGTTTGAAAGTCCGTCAGTAGCTCCAATGAGAATGTCAGTCTCAGGCAGGAGGGTTAAATGAGCCTGAGATGCTTTAAAAACCTGTTTTTTTAAAATTTGGTTATATTTAATGTTAAATTTTTATTTTTTTCTTTTAGATGATGTCTAACTTTTTAAAAATGATGTTTAGTAGTATTATACGAATGGGGAGTTATGTAGAAATTGGAAGTATTTCAATTACATTGTACTTCTAATTGATGTTTTAAGTTTATTGTACGATCTTCCATTTAAATAACAGTCTGTCTAAGATCATTTGTTTGATTTGTCAATTGTTGGTCTATTTGGGTCTGAGAATTCCACAATTTTGAGGAATTTTTTGTTAACTATTTATATATTTTGTAGTTTGAACAGAGGAGTGTAAAGCAATTCCAGCAGCCGCAGCAGTAGCTGTGACTGCAATAAGGCCCATAAGACTGTTATAAGGGTAAAAATAAATCTCTTTGTTTTGGTAAACACTTTTTTTTAAAACATTTTTGTGACAATATGAATGGAAGGAGAGGCTTTCTAAGGTCTATTGAGGGAAACCAGTATCCAAACTCCTTTCTTAGTTTTTATCAGTAACACAGATGTTTTTACACCGAACGTGGAATTAATACAGGTGAAAAGGTGACAGTTTTGACAAGTAATAGTTTGAGAATTAGGTCGAATGTCAATATTTTTGACCATTAACATAAAAGGAGGGTTGACACAACTCTGAATGGGCACTGTTTTGTTGGAAGAAAACTGATACGCAAATTGAAGTTTTTAACCTTTTTTTTTTAAAGATAATATATTTTTTTCTAAACTTAAATATGAGATTGGGCCATTATTAACTTTCATAATTTGGAGTGTTTAGGGCCTATTATTGGATTAATTATTTTGGGATGTGGGCCAGCTGTACTAAAATTGGTCCAAATTATGGGAAAATGAGCACGTTTTTCAGTGTAAGTAGTGTTACCTTTTTGATAGTATAGTTTCTGTTTTAGTTTTGTCTTGTATTTATTATTTTGATGGGTACAATTAACTGTAAAGGTCCCCTCAGGGGACCAATTAATGACAATTTCATAGGAATTATTTTGTAGTACCATAGTGTGATCAGAGATGTAATTTTTTTTAATTAATATTTTTAAATTATTTGACCATTGTTAAGGTTGTTGGCACCTCTTTTTTGGGGGCTTAAACTGTTAATTGAATTGAACTCTGTGAATGATCCGGGCTCCATCCAGAAAATAAATGATAGGATACTGGTCTTTGATTATGACCTGGAATTTTAACTAGTCAATGTTGTCGGTAGCCTTTTAGGCAACCGATAGTTGGCCTTATGTAAAGAGGGGGGAACTGATAACCTATGGACACATTTATTAACTTTTTTTTTTTTCCTTTGGGTGAGAGGGCCCATGAGTATTTGTAGGCTTAGGGATCCAAACGCTATTATTAACATAAACTTCAACTGGGGGTTTTAACCATGTGACAGGCCTAATTAAAGGCAGGAATGGGACACATGCCCAATAGGTATAATTTTGGGCTGTTGTAGCCACAGGTTTGTTAGGCGAGGAGGTCACTGTTTTTATTTTGGCTTTGTATTCTAGGATTAGTAAATAACAGAAGACAAACATGAGTATAATTAGTAACTTTTTTTTTTAGTAAAAGAGTGACCTGTAGTGTTACTTGGCATCTTAGTTTACTATATGTTATTAATGAGGAACCCCACTGGGGGTATGTTAATTTATTCTAGCTAAGCAGTTATGTTATTAGAAGCTGAGAAGGGGGTGTTTGTTAAAGTAACAGGGCAGAAGAAAGGCGGATTTAAGATACGAGCTTAATACAGTGTAGCAGGTATAGGTAGTAGGCAAAGTGAGAGAATTAAAAATGAATAAATTATTTGGCTTAGACTTTTGTTTTTTTAGTATAATGTCTGAGGCCTGTGTTGTTTGTGGAAGTCGCATTGTTGAGGCTGTAGTTCCTGTAGGGTCTTTTTTAGGCTGGTTCAAATGTTTTTTTATTTTTTAATTTTTTATCCTTTGATGAGGATGTAGTCTTTAGGCTGGTACTGGAAATTTTAGGAGTGGCGTCTGTGTTAAGAGACTTTTTACAATTTTTAAAGAGCAGGTTAGTGTTTTAAGAAAAACTTGTGTTTTATTTTAATGTTTAGTTTATAGAAAACTGGATGATATCTTTTTAACTTTAGTAAATACGTTTACACACGGAATTTTTTACAATTATCATTTTAAAACTTGTTTAGATCTTTAAAACAAAATTAAACAACCTTTTTTATATAAATTTTTTATAACTTTTTTTATGACTTTTACAGACAATTTTTAACATGTCTTAACTTTTTATGTTTTATAATTTTTTTACTAAAGGTACATTTTTATAACTTTTTAAATTTTTTTACTTTTTTGTATTTTTTTGATTTTTGTCTTAGTCTTTTTTTTACTTTTATTTTTTTAAATGTGTAATAATTAGATGAGTGTTGGTAACAATGGATGTATGTACATATTTTAGTTTTTAAAATTTAGGGATGTGTTTAACATCTGTTTGCCAGAACTGACTAGGTTCCAATTCTTTACGGTTAACACCTATTGAAGGAGGGTATGTGCCTGTGAGCTGGTAATCTGGGCATTGTGGGATAATTTGTTTAGCCAGCCTCTGTGTAAGTTGAAATTATTTAGATAAGTTTCTCCAATTTTGGTGGAATAATCGATGTGATTGGGTGGCTTGGTCAAGCAGTGATGTCATAACCTGAAGGTCTGCTTGATTATTGCCGTAAGCCAATGGGCCAGGCAGAGAGCTGTGGGCTCGAATGTGTGTAATAAAAGTAGGATGTGTACCTTGGTCTAGTAATTGTTGAAGTTGAAGAAAAAGACCACACAGAGTGGGCTCCAGAGCAAACTTAAGGCTGTAATAGTTTTTAAATAAATACACAGAATAACCTTAGCTCTCTGAATGTTAGTAAATTCAGATCAAGTGATTGGATTATGTGGTCTCCACCAGACTGTTGCTTTTTCATGTTTACCAGACCCACCAGTAAAAACAGCTATGGCTCCTTCCAAAGGGGCATCACAAGTAATTTTTGGAAGAACCTATGTAGTTAATTTTAAGAATTGAAAAGTTTTTAGGATAATGATTATTAATACATCCAACAAATTTTGTTAAATTAATCTGTCATGTAACTGAGTTAATAAATGCCTGTTTAACCTGATTTTTATTTATTGGAACTATAATTTTTATTGGGCTCAGTGCCACAAAGTTTAATAATTCATATATGAGCCTGTCCAATTAGAATTGCCATCTGATTTAAGTATACTGTAAGTGCTTTTATGGTATTATGTGGCAAAAAGGACCATTTAACTAAATCATCATTTTGAACAATAACCCCCATTATTGTGTGGTTAGTGTGAAGTAGGGAACACAATGAATTATAAAGGCAAGTCTGAGTCAATCCTACTGACCTGGGCTTGCTGAATTTTGTTTTCAATTACTGATAACTCTTTCATGGCCTCGGGTGTTAGTTCTCTGTTACTGCGTAAGTTGGTATTTCCCCTCAATATTGAGAAGAGATTAGACATAGCATAAGTAGGAATTGCTAAATTGGGCCAAATCCAATTAATATCTTCTAACAATTTTTGAAAATTATTTAAGGTTTTGAAAGAATCTCTTCTAATTTGAACCTTTTGAGGCTTAATGGCTCTATCCTGTACTTGTATTTTCAAATACTGAAAAGGAGTGGTTGTTTGAATTTTGTCAGGTGCTATAAGTAATTCAGCATTTGTAATTGTCTTTTGCAAAGATTAATAATATTGAATAAGTTGGTCTCTACTTTTTGCTGCACAAATCTGGAAACTGATCTCTAACAGGCTGGATAGTTCTGCCTACAAAAGTTTGACAAACTGTGGGACTATTTAACATACCCTGGGGCAAAACTTTCCAATGATATTTGGCTGCAGGTTTTTTGTTATTAACGGCAGGAATGGTAAAGGCAAATTTTTTGAAATCTGCCTCTGCTAAAGGAATTGTAAAAAAGCAGTCTTTTAAATCTATAATAACAAGCGGTCAGTCTTTAGGGAGCACAGTGGGGGATGGGAGCCCAGGTTGTAAGGCTCCCATCGGTTGAATTACAGCGTTGACGCCATCTACCGGACTTTTTCTTAATTACAAATACTGGGGAATTCCAAGGAGAGAAAGTGGGTGAAATATATCCTTTTTTTAGTAGTTTATTTTATAAAGCACCCCCAACTTTTCCTTAGGGAGCGGCCACTGTTCAACCCAGACGGGGCGCCGGGTCATCCATTTTAAGGGAAATTGCTCCTTCACTGTAATAACTGTAGGGTGAACCTGAATTGCCCCATCTCCATAATGAACTGTGGGTCGGGCAATAATGGGCACGGTGAGCCAAGTCTCGGGCTCCCTCCCCCTGCACCCACTCGGCTGAGGAGGAGGTGGCCATTCTGGACATTTCTCTACAGGAACCGTGGGCTGAACAATTTTTTGAGTAGGTTTAGGGAGACTGGGGAGATTGGCATAAATCATCTTCAGACTCTCCTTTTTGTTAGTACTCGGTAGAGGTGGTTCAGAGTTCTGATTATCAAACTCCTCTCTCTCCTCCTCTGACTCAGCCTCATTATCTGTCTGAAAAGGCTCCAGTGCTGCATGCACCAATGACCAAAGCGACCAAACAGGCAAAGGAATTTCCTTTCCTTCTCTATATGCTCTTTTAAGGTCCTTTCCAACTCCTTCTTAATGTTTTAATTTCAAAGTTTCCTGTTTTGGGAACCAAGGGCAAAATTGTTCCATAGCATGAAACAAATCCATAAGATTTTCCGTATCAACTTTTACCCCACCATGCATGCTTGAAGAGCTGCCGTAGGAAGCTCAAATACGTGGTGTACTTACTTTCAGTTTTTCCCATTGTGTCCCTAGCTTTCTCTGGGCGCCCCGCTTACCTGTAGAGGTTAAAACTTTTATGTCCTTGGGAGTCCTTTGTTCGTTGGTCCTCTGTTTCACATGCTTGAGCGTTTCCTCACCAGATTCTTTTGGGCCCCACGTTGGGCGCCAGAATGTTGGGGACCAGCCTCAACACCACCTGTAGGGTACCTGAAGTCTGGTGGTGACAAAGGAATGAGAAGAGACAGGTTAAGAGTTCATAAAGAGTGGAGGCCAGGGGGCCAATTGCAAAATGGAGGCTGCAAAAGGCTCAGAGCTCTGGTCTCCACACTATTTATTGAGTACAATAACTTAGATCTAAGAAGCAGATGTTCAGGGCAAAACAGTGAAAGGGTAGCAGTGCGTCACAGGCATAATCTACAGCAGAAGCGCTTTAAATGAATCTCCTTTGTGCTCAAACAGCATATCTTTAACTTATCGGAGAGTAGCTAGTGGGAGTGGGCTTAACTAGGAGCCTGCACGTCTGTCCACATTCCAATGCTTCAAAGGAGGGTCTTTCTCCTTGAATACAGTGTTTACAGATAAGAGAGAGCAGGTCTCGCTCTGAGCATGGCAATTAGGAGGCTTTTCTCCTCAGAGGCCTCTTGTGGCTTTCCACAACTTATTGTCCCATATTTTTATGGCCAGTTTATACAGGCACCCCACAAGTCCTTTTCCCAACACAGACAGGAATACGGCAGCCTGTGCCCTGGGAGCTCACTGTCTTGTGGGAGGGAACCACTCAAGCCACTCCCCACTTGTCCTCCTGTCCCTCTCTTCTTGGGCTCTGTCCCCCACCTCTCTCTGTCCTTTGTCTTGCAGGTGGGGAGATGGAGGAGGCAGAGCTCACATCCTGGTATTTTGTGTCATCTCCCTTCTCCTTGGATCTTAGCAAGACCAAGCGACACCTTGTGCCTGGGGCCCCCTTCCTGCTGCAGGTTTCTTCCAGAGGGGAAGGATGAGTAGGGAGGATGTGGTAGTTAGGAGGGCTCAGGGTCTGACCACTCTCTTTTGCCTGCCCTCCTTTACCTGCCTAGGCCTTGGTCCGTGAGATGTCAGGCTCCCCAGCTTCTGGCATTCCTGTCAAAGTTTCTGCCACGGTGTCTTCTCCTGGGTCTGTTCCTGAAGTCCAGGACATTCAGCAAAACACAGACGGGAGCGGCCAAGTCAGCATTCCAATAATTATCCCTCAGACCATCTCAGAGCTGCAGCTCTCAGTAGGACTCCTCGGACCCCTGGGAGATGGTGGGGGAAGGGGAGGAGGGTGAGCTGGGGTCCCAAGGATCCATGGCCTGACTTGGGGGGAAGGTGGGGTACTTGGCTCTGAGCTACTACCCTATTCGCACCTGACCCCCTCTCCAGGTATCTGCAGGCTCCCCACATCCAGCGATAGCCAGGCTCACTGTGGCAGCCCCACCTTCAGGAGGCCCCGGGTTTCTGTCTATTGAGCGGCCGGATTCTCGACCTCCTCGTGTTGGGGACACTCTGAACCTGAACTTGCGAGCCGTGGGCAGTGGGGCCACCTTTTCTCATTACTACTACATGGTGTGCATGAGCTGGGGAGTCACGGAGGGCTGGGGTGCAGGGAAGAGCCCTCTGGGTGGGGCTGGGGGGGTTCAAGGCTGAGGCTGTCCCATGAAGAGGCAACCACTCTTGTCCCTCCCATTCTTGGCCCAGATCCTATCCCGAGGGCAGATCGTGTTCATGAATCGAGAGCCCAAGAGGACCCTGACCTCGGTCTCGGTGTTTGTGGACCATCACCTGGCACCCTCCTTCTACTTTGTGGCCTTCTACTACCATGGAGACCACCCAGTGGCCAACTCCCTGCGAGTGGATGTCCAGGCTGGGGCCTGCGAGGGCAAGGTGACCGGGGTCAGGAGAGATGGCACTTGTGCCGAGGGGGTTGAGGACAGGGTGATTGCCAACAGGGCATGGATTTAGCTTGGGGGCAGTGAGGATACCGGGACTGAAGGAAGCTCTCCCACTCTGACCGCCCCCACCTGCCGCCCCTGCCAGCTGGAGCTCAGCGTGGACGGTGCCAAGCAGTACCGGAACGGGGAGTCCGTGAAGCTCCACTTAGAAACCGACTCCCTAGCCCTGGTGGCGCTGGGAGCCTTGGACACAGCTCTGTATGCTGCAGGCAGCAAGTCCCACAAGCCCCTCAACATGGGCAAGGTTTGTCCAGACCCTCTCCACAGCTCTCTCACCCCTCCATGGCTCATCCCCCTGCTTCCCTGAGCCTTGGGCGCAGCCCCTGGATCCCACTGAGGCTCCCCACAGTCTCTTCCCCACTTGGCCCTGTGGTCTCCATCTCCTGGCTCTGTATCCTTTCCTATCCCCCCATGTGCTGCCCTCTCACCTGTGCCGAGTGCTCAGTCCTGCCCCTCAGCCACACTTGGCTCCTAGCATTCCTGCCTTTCTTGCAGGTCTTTGAAGCTATGAACAGCTATGACCTCGGCTGTGGTCCTGGGGGTGGGGACAGTGCCCTTCAGGTGTTCCAGGCAGCGGGCCTGGCCTTTTCTGATGGAGACCAGTGGACCTTATCCAGAAAGAGTGAGAACAGAGAAGGAAGGGGAGTGGGTGGCGGGAAGATAAGGAAGGAGGAAGGGCCTGAGGGGACCAGCTGGAAGAGTCCGGGCAGGAAGGGCTGGGCAGGGGAAGGGGAGGAGGGGAGGAGGCCGAGTGCCTGACGGCTGGACTGCAGCCTTTCTCTCTACCAGGACTAAGCTGTCCCAAGGAGAAGACAACCCGGAAAAAGAGAAACGTGAACTTCCAAAAGGCGATTAATGAGAAATGTGAGTTGCGGGTGCCTAGGCAGTAGCTTGGGCTCTCCACCTGGGATCCGGGTTGGGGGTCTGCCTCTCTGCCCCTCGGCTCCTTGCTGAACCCACGTGTGGTATTTGGGGCCAGAGATCCGAATTCCGGGATTACGAGTGGAAGGTGGGCAGCTCTCTCCAGCAGCCTCTCTTATGTTGCTGGTCTCAAGGGGTCGGGGCGGGTGCTGAGGTGTATGTCCTTTTTGTCCTCTCATGCTCACCCCCACCTGGCCCTGCAGTGGGTCAGTATGCTTCCCCGACAGCCAAGCGCTGCTGCCAGGATGGGGTGACACGTCTGCCCATGATGCGTTCCTGCGAGCAGCGGGCAGCCCGCGTGCAGCAGCCGGACTGCCGGGAGCCCTTCCTGTCCTGCTGCCAATTTGCTGAGAGTCTGCGCAAGAAGAGCAGGGACAAGGGCCAGGCGGGCCTCCAACGAGGTGAGGGGCTGGGTGGGGCTAGGGCACAGGTGGCGGCGCTTGGAAAGGCAGAACGGTCCCCTCCTCACTCCCGTCCACCGTGGTCCCCCAGCCCTGGAGATCCTGCAGGAGGAGGACCTGATTGATGAGGATGACATTCCCGTGCGCAGCTTCTTCCCAGAGAACTGGCTCTGGAGAGTGGAAACAGTGGACCGCTTTCAAATGTGAGAGTGTGTGCCGGCCCGGCCTTTTCTCTGTGCTGTGTCTCGGGGCCAGCCGGGGTAGACGGGCCTTCTCTGCCTTTCCCTACACAGATTGACACTGTGGCTCCCCGACTCTCTGACCACGTGGGAGATCCATGGCCTGAGCCTGTCCAAAACCAAAGGTGATGTCACCCTGTCTGGGCCTCAGGTGACCCTGCTTCCATTTCCCTGTACCCCAGCTCCCTGTTCCCTTTGCTCTTAGTGTAGGAAGAGGGTCCAGTGATCTGGGGAGGTCTGTGCCAGCGTGCAGCTGGCGTGGGCCAGAGGGCAGAGGCGGACTGAGACAGAGCTGGGTCACCCCCACCCCTCCCTCCTGTGGCCCTGAAGCTTTGATGGCCCCTCTAATCTCTGCCCCTGTGCCCACGCTTCCTTTCCCTCAGGCCTATGTGTGGCCACCCCAGTCCAGCTCCGGGTGTTCCGCGAGTTCCACCTGCACCTCCGCCTGCCCATGTCTGTCCGCCGCTTTGAGCAGCTGGAGCTGCGGCCTGTCCTCTATAACTACCTGGATAAAAACCTGACTGTGAGGCCCCATGGGAGCCTGAGCATACAGGAGTTGGGGGAGCCAGGGCCCAGTGAGGGGTGGGGAGGCTAACCGGGCCAGGACTCTGGCCATCCTCGTTTTCCTGCCCTCAGGTGAGCGTCCACGTGTCCCCAGTGGAGGGGCTGTGCCTGGCTGGGGGCGGAGGGCTGGCCCAGCAGGTGCTGGTGCCTGCGGGCTCTGCCCGGCCTGTTGCCTTCTCTGTGGTGCCCACGGCAGCCGCCGCTGTGTCTCTGAAGGTGGTGGCTCGAGGGTCCTTCGAATTCCCTGTGGGAGATGCGGTGTCCAAGGTTCTGCAGATTGAGGTGAATGGAGCACCCCTGAATATAAGTCCCCGGGCCCCCAGCTTTGTCCTCCACCCTCAGCACTCTCTCTGCTGGCCAGGCCAGGGGCCCAACACCCGAACCAATGCCTTGGTCTGTTCCCATCTTCTACAATTCTGATCCAACTCTGTCCCTGGAGTTGAAACTCAAAGTTCTGGGGGAGTCTGCGCTAGCAGGGCAGGCTGTAGTCCTGTGTGACCTCACAACCATGTTTTCCCTGAGACAGAAGGAAGGGGCCATCCATAGAGAGGAGCTGGTCTATGAACTCAACCCCTTGGGTGAGTGACCCTCTACCTCCAGCCATTGGTTTCCTAAGTGGGTACAGGTGGTGGGGGATGTGGACAGCAGGACAGGCTGCCAACTTCCCCCATTTCCCCAGACCACCGAGGCCGGACCTTGGAAATACCTGGCAACTCTGATCCCAATATGATCCCTGATGGGGACTTTAACAGCTACGTCAGGGTTACAGGTGGGAGTGCCCTTTAGTCCCTTCCCAGTGGCCACCTTCGGATTCATGTGGGACCTGTGGATCCCTGCTTGGTCCCACTCCCCGTGAGCCTCTGACACAGAGTCCTCAGACCTCCACCCTCTCCCTCCCATGTAGCCTCAGATCCATTGGACACTTTAGGCTCTGAGGGGGCCTTGTCACCAGGAGGCGTGGCCTCCCTCTTGAGGCTTCCTCGAGGCTGTGGGGAGCAAACCATGATCTACTTGGCTCCGACACTGGCTGCTTCCCGCTACCTGGACAAGACAGAGCAGTGGAGCACACTGCCTCCCGAGACCAAGGACCACGCCGTGGATCTGATCCAGAAAGGTTCTGGGTGCAAGGGCAAGCAGGAGGGGGGCCAGGAAAGGACAGTTACTGGAAGATGGACAGCCCAGGAGGCTACAGAGGGAAAGAAAGGGGGCCCCTGATGAGGATGGGGAGCATGGCCTTGGGCTCAAACAGCAGAAGGGTGAGTGTCACCTGAGCGGCCACCTCTCCTCTCCAAGGCTACATGCGGATCCAGCAGTTTCGGAAGGCGGATGGTTCCTATGCGGCTTGGTTGTCACGGGGCAGCAGCACCTGGTGAGCTTGGGAGAGTGGTTCCAGGGTTCTGAGGGGGTCAGGGCTGGGGCAGGGGTGGGACAGAGCTGGTATGATGGGAGGGTGGATAACCAGGCACCTGGGGGCGTGGGCATAATGAGAAGCAAGTCCTTATCCCCAACCCTCCTTTCCTGCCCTCCAGGCTCACAGCCTTTGTGTTGAAGGTCCTGAGTTTGGCCCAGGAGCAGGTAGGAGGCTCGCCTGAGAAACTGCAGGAGACATCTAACTGGCTTCTGTCCCAGCAGCAGGCTGACGGCTCGTTCCAGGACCTCTCTCCAGTGATACATAGGAGCATGCAGGTGCGGGCATGCTGGGGCTGGCCCGAGAAGCGCCTGTCGGAGGACTCTCTTTGCCCCTTCCCCCTCCTGTTTGACATCTTTTCTCCCCTTACTAGGGGGGTTTGGTGGGCAATGATGAGACTGTGGCACTCACAGCCTTTGTGACCATCGCCCTTCATCATGGGCTGGCCGTCTTCCAGGATGAGGGTGCAGAGCCATTGAAGCAGAGAGTGGTAAGTTCAGTGGCGTTTCTGCCCTCTGCTGGCCCCCAGCTCTCTCCCTTTTTCCTCAGGAACCCAGGGGTCCAGGCCCAAGACCCTCCTCCCGTTTTCTTCCAGGAAGCCTCCATCTCAAAGGCAAGCTCATTTTTGGGGGAGAAAGCAAGTGCTGGGCTCCTGGGTGCCCACGCAGCTGCCATCACGGCCTATGCCCTGACACTGACCAAGGCCCCTGCGGACCTGCGGGGTGTTGCCCACAACAACCTCATGGCAATGGCCCAGGAGACTGGAGGTGAGGGGTGAGGCGCTCCTGGCAGTGAGCCTGAGGCCCAGGGGACCTTAGGATCCCTGAGTGTGCCCAGAGGGAGAGGCTGGATGAAGACTCAGAGGAGGAATGAAGTTATAAGCAGGGGTGGGTTGGGGGAGACTCAGGAGAGCCCAGCAGGGGGTGGCTAAGGGCCAGGGGACCAGGCTCTTCTCCCTGCCTTCCTGTTTACTCGTGGTCTCCCTTCACTTTCAGATAACCTGTACTGGGGCTCAGTCACTGGTTCTCAGAGCAATGCCGTGTCGCCCACCCCAGCTCCTCGCAACCCATCCGACCCCATGCCCCAGGCCCCAGCCCTGTGGATTGAAACCACAGCCTACGCCCTGCTGCACCTCCTGCTTCACGAGGGCAAAGCAGAGATGGCAGACCAGGCTGCGGCCTGGCTCACCCGTCAGGGCAGCTTCCAAGGGGGATTCCGCAGTACCCAAGTAGGGGCCGTCCCCGGGCTCTGGCGGGGGTGGGTAGTCCTCAGACCAAGGGCTTGCTTGAGTCCTGGCTCAACCTCCCTAGGACACGGTGATTGCCCTGGATGCCCTGTCTGCCTACTGGATTGCCTCCCACACCACTGAGGAGAGGGGTCTCAATGTGACTCTCAGCTCCACAGGCCGGAATGGGTTCAAGTCCCACGCGCTGCAGCTGAACAACCGCCAGATTCGCGGCCTGGAGGAGGAGCTGCAGGTGAACCACTCCCTGGTGAACCACTCCCTCGCCTGGGTAGCCAGGACACCTGGGCCTCGTGGCCAGGCCAGAAGCCGTCCCCACCCTCCCACCCGTGGAATCCCCGCAGCACTTCTTCCTGGGGTCTTCGGGGGAAGACTGACTTCCTGGCTGCGTGACCTGGAGCTCTGAGCTTCAGTTTTCTCACTTGTAGAGTAACATACACAGAGTTCACCCTACAGGGTCGTTAGAAGGCTGAAGTGAGATAATTCATGTGCTGGTATAAACTTTGTGGAAATGTGAGGTGGGGAGAGGAGGTGGGGCTGTTTTGAGGAAGGAGATAAGTTATTGGAGCCGCAAAAACAGGTTTGCTTGTGCCCTTCTAACATCGCCTTCCCTTTTCTGTTGCTGAAGTTTTCCTTGGGCAGCAAGATCAATGTGAAGGTGGGAGGAAACAGCAAAGGAACCCTGAAGGTGAGGGCCAGGGAAGGGGTGGGGCCAGGCACTGGTGGAGGAGAGGGTGTGGAGTGAGAGGCCTGTGGGCAGAGGCACATGGTCCGGGGAAGGAGGCAGACACCTCAGGGTTGGTGTCCCGTGCTTCCGTCCTGGGTGTTTTTCCCCCTGCTTGCTTTCGCTTGCTCTCCCCATCTCTGGGTACCTGTTGTTTCCTTTACCCGCCTCAGTGCTGGTGGCTCCGAATCCCACTCCTCAGCCCAGGCCTCTTCCCTGAACCATGGGCCCCACTCGTCCCACTCCCACAGCACCTCAGACGAGGCATGTCCCAAAGCCCTTCTTCATTCTGTGTCTCTTGTCTGGCTGGTGGGAGCCCCTCCCAGCCAGGAGCCCAGCCACTACTCTAGAGGCCGTGTTAGTGGCCCCTCTCCCAAGCCTGTCCTTATGTCCCTAGTGACTCCTCCTCTGCTCCCCTGCTGCCTGTGGCCCTTGGTGCTGCATCCTAGATTCTGTGCTGAGACGGCCTTCTCCCTACCTGGAACTTCTCTCTACCTCCTGTCTCCCCTGTCTGATCCACTGTCCACACGGCAGTGACACTGACCTTCCAAAAGCCCCAGCCAGATCAGCCTTGGGGAAAAGTCACTCCCCGCTGCCCACGGCTCAGATGGCTGGGCCTCTGCCCACCCCTCCGGCCAGACAGCTCTCCTTGTCTACACAGATCCCCTTGCCTTTCCTGTCCTTCCCTGCTTCTTGGCCCACAGGACAAGCTCTTTCTTCTCCTTCAAGCCTTGGCCAGAAGCCTTTCCTGAGCTTTTCAGTCCAGCCTCTTCCCAGCACAGTCTGGAGTGTTGGCCTCTGGGGGCAGGCCCCTGCTTCTTTACCTCTCTGTCTCGCCTGACGCCTGTGGCGAATGTGGTGCCACTCGTGTGTGTGGACTGTGCAGTGACGGGGAGGAAAAGGGGCTGAAGGCCTCAAATCCTGTAGCCCAGGGAGATGCCCTTAGGTATGGCACCAGAGAGGTCTGTGGCCTCACATGTCCCACGTCCTCTCCCTGCCCCTTGCTGAGCCAGGTCCTTCGTACCTACAATGTCCTGGACATGAAGAACACGACCTGCCAGGACCTACAGATAGAAGTGACAGTCAAAGGCCACGTCGAGTACACGAGTGAGTGTGGGGGTTGGGAGGCCTTGGGGCCAGGCAGGGGCTGGCGCAGGGAGCCGGGTGGCCATCCCAGCCCTCCTCACAATGCTTCCCTGTGCAGTGGAAGCAAACGAGGACTATGAGGACTATGAGTACGATGAGCTTCCAGCCAAGGATGACCCAGATGCCCCTCTGCAGCCCGTGACACCCCTGCAGCTGTTTGAGGGTCGGAGGAACCGCCGCAGGAGGGAGGCGCCCAAGGTGGTGGAGGAGCAGGAGTCCAGGGTGCACTACACCGTGTGCATCTGGTGGGCGCCGGGAGCTGCCCTGGGCCAGGGGAGGGAGGGCAGGACCCAGGCTGGGGCTGGGCTTCTGGAGCCCGCGCAGGCAGAACCTGGACGACAGCTCACACGTCTCCACAGGCGGAACGGCAAGGTGGGGCTGTCTGGCATGGCCATCGCGGACGTCACCCTCCTGAGTGGATTCCACGCCCTGCGTGCTGACCTGGAGAAGGTGTGGTCAGCCACCCAGGGCAACCCCCTCTGTCCCAGGTACTGAGCCCTGTCATGTGCAGGGCCTGTGACCAACTCCCCTTTTCCACAGCTGACCTCCCTCTCTGACCGTTACGTGAGTCACTTTGAGACCGAGGGGCCCCACGTCCTGCTGTATTTTGACTCGGTGAGTGGGGAGAGATGAGGCAGGAAGGGACTCGATGGCACCGGGTTTACTGAGTATGCGTTAGGAGGTTTCTCAGGAGACAGCTGTGTCAGCGGCTGGTGCTCTTGAGAACTTGTGATGTCATCAGAGAGAAGGACAAGAATGTGAGCCCGTGAGACACAGCAGAGTAAGGGGCAGACCTGCAGGCGGCAGGGACCGATGCCAGTCAGCAGGGACCCTCAGGGTTTGAGAGGGAGTCTTTCCTAATGCTGGTTTTATTCAGCTTGAGGGGCTGCCTTTGTTTTTTTGTTGAACTTCCTATCTTTTTTTTAATATTAAAGCGTATTTTCCTTTACAAAGTGATGGTGGCCATAGATGATAGTTGTATTTGTCTTTTCACGACCTTATTTGGCTAAAATAGTTATCAACCCTCTTACGGCTCTCAAAACATTTTTATTTATTTATTTAGTAAAGACAGGGTCTCGCTCTGTTGCCCAGGCTGGTCTTGAACTCCCGGCCTCAAGCGATCCTCTGGCCTAGGCCTTTCAAAGTACCGGATTTACAGGCCAGAGCCACCATGCCCGGCCTTCAAAAAAAGTTTTGGAACATTTACTGTAACCTCTGGGAGAAAATGTGAGAAAGGTGTGGTGGCTGTCATTAGCCAGCTGTTTGTAGGTCAGGGAGACCCCTACCCAGTGTGTGCAGAGGGGCCAGCCCCCATCAGCTGGGGAAGCCTGGCTGACACATCTGGGTTGAACACAATAGAAAACACAGAGCCAACAAGATTCCCGGATAGGGAGCTGACGGTGCAGCAGCCTAGCTCAGGAGGGACACTGGCACGGCACCGTGTGGACTGGGCCCGCGTGGGCACGAGGAGGGGTCAGGCCTGGGACCTGAGTCGGGGGGTCAGGCAGGATGACAGAACCTGCAGTTAGGTTGTGGCAAATAAAGGAGGACCCAGTTGTATCCATGACAAAGATGAGGCCGCGAGGAGGGCGAGTGGGTTTGGGGGCAGGCAGAGTGCCTTGGAGAACTTACAGGTCCTGCCACAATCCTAATGCAAGGATGGAGCTGCAAGTTCAGTTTGGGAATCATCAGCCTGGATTGGTTTGGTGGAAGCCAGGGAGTGGTTGAGACCCCCACAGGGGAGCTCTGAGGAAGGAAGTTCCGAAGGAGGGAACGTAAGAAATGACCAGGTCAGAACCAAGGGTGGTCCAGAAGCTAACCCTTAGCTTAGGGACAGTTTCACAGAGAACACGTCCATGATGCAAGACTCTGCTGAGGGCCTGGAGCAGTGAAGACTGGGGCAAGGTCACCCTCTGGGAAGTGAAGTCACCAGAGACCTTGCGGAGCAGCTTTGAGAGTTCTCTGAGTAGGAAGGTAACAGAATGTGAAGGACACTGGAGAGAAGGCCAATAGGAAGCAAACAAAAACAGGCCAAGGAAACCCAGTACAGGGGGCTGCAGGGCCCAGGGAGTGGGTCCCTCATCTCTCCTCCCCACGCTTGGCCAGGTCCCCACCTCCCGGGAGTGCGTGGGCTTTGAGGCTGTGCAGGAAGTGCCGGTGGGGCTGGTGCAGCCGGCCAGCGCAACCCTGTACGACTACTACAACCCCGGTGAGCACTGCAGGACACCCTGAAATTCAGGAGAACTTTGGCATAGGTGCCCTCCTATGGGACAATGGACACCGGGGTAGTGAGGGGGCAGAGAGCCCTGGGGCTCCCTGGGACTGAGGAGGCAGAATGGAGGGGCCTGTGCCCTAACTCCTCTCTGTTCTCCAGAGCGCAGATGTTCTGTGTTTTACGGGGCACCAAGTAAGAGCAGACTCTTGGCCACCTTGTGTTCTGCTGAAGTCTGCCAGTGTGCTGAGGGTGAGACTGAGGGCCTGGGGCGGGGCAGTGGAGGCGGGATGGCCGGGGCCCCCCCCACACTGTCTGATGGGTTCCCCAACTTCAGGGAAGTGCCCTCGCCAGCGTCGCGCCCTGGAGCGGGGTCTGCAGGACGAGGATGGCTACAGGATGAAGTTTGCCTGCTACTACCCCCGTGTGGAGTACGGTCAGTCTTCCCACCGAGGCCCTGGCCTGACCCTCCCTCGGGGACCGGCCGTTTTGGTCTCTCTGGGTGTAGCCTGCTCCTCTTACAGGTCATGCACGCAGCCTGTTTGCTCTGACACCAACTTCCTACCCTCTCAGCCTCAAAGTAACTCACCTTTCCCCCTTCTCCTCACCCCCTCTTAGGCTTCCAGGTTAAGGTTCTCCGAGAAGACAGCAGAGCTGCTTTCCGCCTCTTTGAGACCAAGATCACCCAAGTCCTGCACTTCAGTATGAAGCAAACCGGAGAGGCGGGCAGGGCTGGGGGGAGACAGGGAGGCTGAGGTGTGGCCGAGGACCTGACCATCTGGAAGTGTGAAAATCCCCTTGGGCTGTCAGAAGCCTTGGGCTTGGCCATAAATAGGGAGGCAGTGGCACCTCTCCATGGGGGTGGCGAAGGTGGAATGAGAGGATCTACACAGAGTCCCCAGCCTGGGCTCACCCTGCACCTTCTCTTCCCCTCTGACCACTTTTGCGCACGTCATCCCCGCAGCCAAGGATGTCAAGGCCGCTGCTAATCAGATGCGCAACTTCCTGGTTCGAGCCTCCTGCCGCCTTCGCTTGGAACCTGGGAAAGAATATTTGATCATGGGTCTAGATGGGGCCACCTATGACCTCGAGGGACAGTGAGTCATCTGGTCCCCTCAGTCTCTTGTCCTCCCCATGCCTCGCCACCTAGGCCTTGCCCCTCAGAAGCCAGATGCCTGTGCTCTCCGTTTCCACCTGCCATCCTCCCGAGCCCTGCTGACTGCCCCTTTGCCCCCTGCAGCCCCCAGTACCTGCTGGACTCGAATAGCTGGATCGAGGAGATGCCCTCTGAACGCCTGTGCCGGAGCACCCGCCAGCGGGCAGCCTGTGCCCAGCTCAACGACTTCCTCCAGGAGTATGGCACTCAGGGGTGCCAGGTGTGAGGGCTGCCCTCCCACCTCCGCTGGGAGGAACCTGAACCTGGGAACCATGAAGCTGGAAGCACTGCTGTGTCCGCTTTCATGAACACAGCCTGGGACCAGGGCATATTAAAGGCTTTTGGCAGCAAAGTGTCAGTGTTGGCAGCGAAGTGTCAGTGTGTGTTGCTAGGGCTGAGAGCAGTGCCCCTGCCCGATGCAGTTCTGGGCAGGCCAGGTTGACATAACCTTAGACTCTCTGAGCCCTGATGACCCTTGGGCTGTTCAGCTCTGCTAGAACCTCCCAGATGACCCGCTAGGAGTCTAGTGCTTCACAGGACCACCCCGAGCAGAACTGGGACCCAAGAGCCTGCACCCCAAGGACCAGAGTCCATGCCAAGACCACCCTTCAGCTTCCAAGGCCCTCCACTGCCCGGCTGTCGCCAGTCACCACGGCCTCAGACAGGGCTTGTGCTCAGCTGACACCTGTGACACAGCTCTTCTGCCTCATGAGCTGTTGTCCAGCTACACCTCCCCGACTCTGTCCTCGTGCTGCTGGCGGTTCTGAGGTCTGCAGATTTTAGCTGAGTTCCGGGCTGTTGAAAGCCTGCTGACGCTTGGTTCTGTTATCAGTGGAATGAGGTGACTTTCCCGGAGTTGTGCAATCCTCAGGTCCGGCAGTGTCTTCTTCCAGTTACTGGTTTCAAACAAGCCAAAAGTCTGACTTTGGTGTGTTTGTGAATCCTCTGAGGAAGCCGCTGTTCTCCTGGGGTCTCCCCTTCCCACCGGACCTGCCTAACTTTCCCCCATTTAGTGGCACACCTGGGGTCTTCAGAGATGACTCCGCGTCTGTCCAAAGAAGTTTGGTGAGATCAGTTTCCGTAGAGGTCATGACAGTTCAGCAGCCTGCCATCCAGTCATTCGACAGAAATTCGGGAATCTTTCACTTCATGCCATGCCCTGTGCCAGGTGCCAGAGATACAGCTGCTCACTCCAGGGCTCATCGCTGGGGAGACAGATAAGAGGACGGGCAGTCCCCACCCTCTGTGAAAGATGTGATGTCAGGGAGCAGTGTGGTCCTGTGGGGCATCTAACCAAGTCAGGGGCATTGCCAGGCAGGGACAGGGAAGGCTTCCTGGAGCAGGTGGCCTCCAAGTGGGGCTCTGAAGACTGAGAAGGAGCCAGGCAAAGAGCAGGGGTAGATGAGGGCATCTGGGGCAGAAGGAGAATATACAAAGGCCCAGAGGCCGGGGGCAGGACAGGGTACCTTTGGGGACATTGCATGTAATTGACCACATTCGGAGTTTGGATTTGGAAGTGGTGGAAGAGATGGAGATGGTGAGACAAGTAGTAAGCACGTCAGCCTTCCAGGTGCGCTCCTTTCCGATGAGCACTGTCTTATCCCACGTAACTTTGAGAAGTTTGGGCCTTTCCCACTGTGGCAGAGGTTTCCTGAGGCTCTTGCATACATGGCCCTATGGTTGCTCATCAGATCTTTCTCCCAGTAGCTGCTCAGCATGGTGGTGGCATAAGCCCATTTTCCGGAGCCAGGGATTCAGTTGCAGCAAGACATGGCCCGGTCTGGGAGGTCAACCATGAAGAAGGCAGTAGCTGTCATTGCCCAACCCCAGAAATCCCAATCCTGTTTTCTCCCTCTCAGTCCTGATCATGGATTCAGCAGCAGCGAACTCGCCAATGTAGTGGGTGGCACAGCCAGGGTCTTGACTCTGGCTCTGCAGTAGCACAGTCTGGAAAAGCTCTGAGGGGAGAGAGACCCCCACTGGTCCGAGGGTCTGGCACAGAGCCAGAAATGGGGGGGAAGGTATGAGGCTGGGTCGCCTCTGACCTCTCAGGTACCATCCAGGAGGCCCTGGCCTCTCACTGAACCCGGCCACTCCTCTTTGGCATGGCCTCTTCCCAAATCCCCAAACTGCCTCCTTACCCACAAAAGTGGTCTCTGAGTGTCAGTCCAGTGGGACCCCCACCCCTTATGGCTTCAGTTCCCCAAATAGGGCTGGACCCTTGATCCTGATCCAGCTGTGGCTATCCAGCCCCTTCCTGGGGACTTTGGACTTTGAGGGGGGCATGCCCAGTTGTGCTGGGAATCCATACTTTCCCTGGCTGGAGTAGAACCTGTGGACTGTAGTCCTGAGGGCAGTCATGTTCTGCCTGTGCCTGGAAACACAAGAAACTTGACTGCAGAGAGAAGAAAGAGGAGAGAGGAACAGAGCGAGGAAACCGCCCGTCTCCGGGGCTTTTTCTGTTCCCTATCCTTGACTTTCTAAGACCAGTGGGGTCCCCTCCTCTGCTTCTTTTTCCTGAGTTCTGTGAAATTCCCCAATTCTTATTTTTTATCTCAAACCAGCTCAAGGTGGGCTGTTTTCCTTTCAACCAAAGAAAGGTGCTCCTGGTGGCTAAAGGTACATATTCGACAGCTAGATTTCCAGGCTGGAATCCTGCCCTCCACAACATGCGAACAATACCCGTGTTGCATATAGAGCATGGCTGTGAAGAGTTGAGTGAGTGCCCACAAAGCACTTAGAGCAGTGTCTGGTACATGCTATTACTCCGCAGCGGGAAACCACTTCCTCCTTTGTCTTCTGGGCACTTTTGTGAGTGAAAGGAGGCACTAATAACAATCACACTGGGATACCTGTATATACTGGAATGCCCCAGGCAAACCAGGCTTAAACTGTATTACTCTATCTGTAGCTTAAACTAACAAACAACCCACACAAATCACATTTTGTTCTTCAGGCGATTCAGGAAGGCCTATTAGGCAGGGACTGCCATTTTCTCTCTGAGACAAACATCATGCCAGTAAACTGGCCCACGGTGGGGTGGCAGAGGGAGAGGGCCCAGGTGGGGGCGGACACTATTGCCTGCACAGTTGATGTGGAACCAGAAAGCTGACTCTGGATGCAGGAAAAAGGTCAGGGTTGCATTTCCCTTCCTTGCTTCTTGATGGGTGATCAATTTTTTTGAAATACGGACGTCCCAAGGCCAATGAGACTGGTGTCATTCCAGAAAAGGGCCACTCTGTGGGCGGGTCGGTGGGAGGGTACCTGAAGGTGGGGTCAAGGGAGGCCCCAAAACAGTCTACACAGCAGGAGGGATGGCTGGGGCTCTTGAGCTATAAGTGGCACCTCAGGGCCCTGACGGGCGTCTCGCCATGCTGCTCCTGGGCCTGCTGCTGCTGCCCCTGCTGGCTGGCGCCCGCCTGCTGTGGAACTGGTGGAAGCTCCGGAGCCTCCACCTCCCGCCTCTTGCCCCGGGCTTCTTGCACTTGCTGCAGCCCGACCTCCCAATCTATCTGCTTGGCCTGACTCAGAAATTCGGGCCCATCTACAGGCTCCACCTTGGGCTGCAAGGTGAGAGGCTGATCTCGCTCTGGCCCTCACCATAGGAGGGGGCGGAGGTGACGGAGAGGGTCCTCTCTCCGCTGACGCTGCTTTGGCTGTCTCCCAGATGTGGTGGTGCTGAACTCCAAGAGGACCATTGAGGAAGCCATGGTCAAAAAGTGGGCAGACTTTGCTGGCAGACCTGAGCCACTTACCTGTAAGGGCTGGGGGCATTTTTTCTTTCTTAAACAAATTTTTTTTTAAGAGATGGGTTCTTGCTATGTTGCCCAGGCTGGTCTTAAATTCCTAGTCTCAAATGATCCTCCCACCTCAGCCTCAAGTGTGAGCCACCTTTGGGGCATCCCCAATCCAGGTCCCTGGAAGCTCTTGGGGGGGCATATCTGGTGGGGAGAAAGCAGGGGTTGGGGAGGCCGAAGAAGGTCAGGCCCTCAGCTGCCTTCATCAGTTCCCACCCTCCAGCCCCCAACTCCTCCTGCAGACAAGCTGGTGTCTAAGAACTACCCGGACCTGTCCTTGGGAGACTACTCCCTGCTCTGGAAAGCCCACAAGAAGCTCACCCGCTCAGCCCTGCTGCTGGGCATCCGTGACTCCATGGAGCCAGTGGTGGAGCAGCTGACCCAGGAGTTCTGTGAGGTAAGGCTGGGCTCCTGAGGCCACCTCGGGTCAGCCTCGCCTCTCACAGTAGCCCCCGCCCTGCCCGCTGCACAGCGGCCTGCTGAACTCACACTGTTTCTCCACAGCGCATGAGAGCCCAGCCCGGCACCCCTGTGGCCATTGAGGAGGAATTCTCTCTCCTCACCTGCAGCATCATCTGTTACCTCACCTTCGGAGACAAGATCAAGGTGCCTCACAGCCCCTCAGGCCCACCCCCAGCCCCTCCCTGAGCCTCTCCTTGTCCTGAACTGAAAGTACTCCCTCCTTTTCTGGCAGGACGACAACTTAATGCCTGCCTATTACAAATGTATCCAGGAGGTGTTAAAAACCTGGAGCCACTGGTCCATCCAAATTGTGGACGTGATTCCCTTTCTCAGGGTGAGGACCTGGAGCCTAGACACCCCTGGGTTGTAGGGGAGAGGCTGGGGTGGAGGGAGAGGCTCCTTCCCACAGCTGCATTCTCATGCTTCCTGCCGCAGTTCTTCCCCAATCCAGGTCTCCGGAGGCTGAAGCAGGCCATAGAGAAGAGGGATCACATCGTGGAGATGCAGCTGAGGCAGCACAAGGTGGGGACTGTACGTGGACGGCCTCCCCTCGGCCCACAGCCAGTGATGCTACCGGCCTCAGCATTGCTATGAGGCGGGTTCTTTTGCATACCCCAGTTATGGGCCTGTTGCCACTCTGTACTCCTCTCCCCAGGCCAGCCGCTCAGCCCGCTCCTTTCACCCTCTGCAGGAGAGCCTCGTGGCAGGCCAGTGGAGGGACATGATGGACTACATGCTCCAAGGGGTGGCGCAGCCGAGCATGGAAGAGGGCTCTGGACAGCTCCTGGAAGGGCACGTGCACATGGCTGCAGTGGACCTCCTGATCGGTGGCACTGAGACCACAGCAAACACCCTCTCCTGGGCCGTGGTTTTTTTGCTTCACCACCCTGAGGTGCGTCCTGGGGACAAGCAAAAGGCTCCTTCCCAGCAACCTGGCCAGGGCGGTGGGCACCCTCACTCAGCTCTGAGCACTGTGCGGCTGGGGCTGTGCTTGCCTCACCGGCACTCAGGCTCACTGGGTTGCTGAGGGAGCGGCTGGAGGCTGGGCAGCTGTGGGCTGCTGGGGCAGGACTCCACCCGATCATTCCCCAGATTCAGCAGCGACTGCAGGAGGAGCTAGACCACGAACTGGGCCCTGGTGCCTCCAGCTCCCGGGTCCCCTACAAGGACCGTGCACGGCTGCCCTTGCTCAATGCCACCATCGCCGAGGTGCTGCGCCTGCGGCCCGTTGTGCCCTTAGCCTTGCCCCACCGCACCACACGGCCCAGCAGGTGACTCCCGAGGGTTGGGGATGAGTGAGGAAAGCCCGAGCCCAGGGAGGTCCTGGCCAGCCTCTAACTCCAGCCCCCTTCAGCATCTCCGGCTACGACATCCCTGAGGGCACAGTCATCATTCCGAACCTCCAAGGCGCCCACCTGGATGAGACGGTCTGGGAGAGGCCACATGAGTTCTGGCCTGGTATGTGGGGGGCCGGGGGCCTGCCGTGAAAATGTGGTGGAGGCTGGTCCCCGCTGCCGCTGAACGCCTCCCCACCCACCTGTCCACCCGCCCGCAGATCGCTTCCTGGAGCCAGGCAAGAACTCCAGAGCTCTGGCCTTCGGCTGCGGTGCCCGCGTGTGCCTGGGCGAGCCGCTGGCGCGCCTGGAGCTCTTCGTGGTGCTGACCCGACTGCTGCAGGCCTTCACGCTGCTGCCCTCCGGGGACGCCCTGCCCTCCCTGCAGCCCCTGCCCCACTGCAGTGTCATCCTCAAGATGCAGCCTTTCCAAGTGCGGCTGCAGCCCCGGGGGATGGGGGCCCACAGCCCAGGCCAGAACCAGTGATGGGGCAGGACCGATGCCAGCCGGGTACCTCAGTTTCTCCTTTATTGCTCCCGTACGAACCCCTCCCCTCCCCCCTGTAAACACAGTGCTGCGAGATCGCTGGCAGAGAAGGCTTCCTCCAGCGGCTGGGTGGTGAAGGACCCTGGCTCTTCTCTCGGGGCGACCCCTCAGTGCTCGGCAGTCATACTGGGGTGCGAGAGAGGTGGGCAGCAGCTCAGCCTCCCCCCGCTGGGGAGCGAAAGTTTCTTGGTCTCAGCTTCATTTCCGTGAAGGGCACCGAGAACTCGAAGCCCTTCCAGTGGTACCAGCTCACTCCCTGGGAAAGGGGTTGTCAAGAGAGAGTCAAAGCCGGATGTCCCATCTGCTCTTCCCGTTCCCCTTAAGGAGGTAGCTCCCAGCACTCAACCAACCTCCCCGCAGAGCTCCCTTCCTGACCCTCCGCTGCAGAGGATTGAGGCTTAATTCTGAGCTGGCCCTTTCCAGCCAATAAATCAACTCCAGCTCCCTCTGCGAGGCTGGCATGATTGTTCCATTTCACCCAGCCGCTCAGTCCCTTGCCTGTTACACTGTGGGGCTGAAACCTAGGCAGGCCGAGCCCCAGCCACCCCAGCTCTGAGCCGCCTCCCCACCCCTCACCTGATGGTCCACTGTGCTCCCGTAGAGCCCGTTGAGGTTGGCGTAGTGGCAGTTCCTGTACCACCAGGCCCCTCGGTAGGAGACAGCGCAGGAGATGAGCAAGCTGTTGGGGTCCCGATCACGGGCAGAGAAGACACTGCCGCTGTGGTAGCTCATGGAGTCCCCTGGGCAGGGTGGAGGAAGGAGCCATGAGGGCCTCCCCTCCCAGCCTCACCCTCCCAGCCTCACAGCCTCTGCTTACCTGCGGTGCCGTGGTAGCCCTCCAAGTGGAGGCGGTAGTACTCCGCAGCCGAGTCTACGTGGAAGGAGTCGTACTGGGCGAACACAGCCTCGTCCCCAGCCCGCAGGTCCACGCGCATGGAGTAGTCACCTGCCTGTGTCAGGCTGTGCAGGGCCTCATTGCCTGGGGGTGGGATACGTGCCCTCATCAGGGTCCTGGTGTCCACAGGGCCCCCATCCCCATCCGTAGTTCCCCAGTCCCTGTGAGGCACTGACCCAGCCAGAACTCTCCAGAGATGTTCCCAAAACCATGGGCATAGTCCTCCCAGTCCCTCCAGAAGTCTGTCTGTCCATCCATGCGGCGCTGGAACACCTGGGAAGCAAGTGGGGGCACCATCAGCCTCTGGCTCCCGGGGCAACAGACCCTGCCCTGCACAGACCCCTGGGCTTCCCAATGCCACCCACCAGCCAGCCGCCCCCATCAGTCTCCATGTCGCAAAACACGATCAGGGGCCGCTCGCGGTTGCCGTTGAGGAAGATGGTGCTGGTCCTGGAGGCACCGGCTCCGTTCTGCATCTCCTCCCCGCAGTCCCTGGGGAAGGGGATCCGCAGCCCACCTGGGAGAGGAGAGCAGGGGCCAGTCCTTTTCCAAGCCTTAGGCCCTGGCTGCCCACCCAGCCCCCGGCCCCGGGCCCGTGCGTCCAGGTACCCGTGGTGAAAGAGGTGGACACGGGCGGCAGGAGGCTCTGGCCCCACATGGCCTGGAGCCGTGCATTGTAGGAGGTGGAGGGAAAGAGGCCAAGGAGCTGGTGAGATGTGATCCCTCCTGGGAGCAGGATCTCCTGTGGGACAGACAAGGGGGGGTCAGGGGAGAGGGAGGTGGAGACCCTCCGGGAGGGCCAGAGGCAGCACCTCCTGGAATCACCCAGGGAGGGGAGTTGGGTCAGTGGGGCCGGGGCACCTGGGTCTGTCCACCAGGGGTGTGGAAGCTGAGCAGGTAGCCTGCGGGCCGGACTGGGGGCTCAGTCCAAGTGAGCAGGGCGGTGCGGGGGGTCACTTCCTTGGCCTCCAAGTCCCGAGGGGCCTCTAGCCCTAGGAGGGAAAGCAGGAAGAGGAGATGGGGATGAGGCCCAACCTGGCTCCCTCTACCTCCTCTCCCTGTCCCACACACCCCACAGACCCTACCTGTGGTGAAGGTGATGCTGGCTGGGGAAGTGAGGTTGGGGCCCCGCAGGCCACGCACTGTGGCGGTGTAGTTGGTGTGGAGGACAAGGTCATGCAGGGGGTAGTCCACCGCGCTGCCTGGGGTCTCCGCCTGCAGAGGCGGGGCTGGGAGTGTAGAGAGGGGCATCAAGGCCTGCCCCCTCCATCCTCGGCCAGAGTCCAGCCTCCCCCCTGCAATCCCCACCCTGAACAAGTCCCCTCCAGAGGCCTCAGCCCTGCTCACCCCCAGGGGCTGTGACCTGGATGTCATAGGTGTCTACAGGATTCTGGGGGGGCTTCCAGTGCAGCACGGCGAATCCCTCGGTCAAGTTCAGTGCACGCAACTGTGTGGGACCGTCAGGAACTGGGGGAAGGGGAGGGGCTCAGAGGGGTCCCCGCGGCTCTCTCTACTCCGTGCCTCCCCAGACTCCACTGGCCTCCCGTCCGCAATCGGAGCCTCCACCACCTCCCTTTCACCCTCCTCGTTCTCTCTCAACTCCCACCCATGCCGTTTTCTTGGCTCCCACCTCTTGCCCCGGGTCCCAGTCCATCTCACCCGTGGTGAGGAAGCCTGTGAGAGGCTCACTCTCCTCAAAGCCTCGGACCGAGACCACGGTCACCTCATAGCGAGCGCCTGGGATCAGCCCCTGGAGTTTCTGGGTCCGGGCCTGGCCATCCACCTGCACACTCTGAGGCTCCCCTGAAAACATTGGGGATCGAGGGTTACCCAGGGAACCCCAGGGCAGCTGGAGGGTGGGCAGAGTGCAGGGGGGAGAGGAAATGCGAGGCGATGAGCACATGGCAAAGGCACCACCTCCGTCCGCCAGCTGGTAGGAGACTTTGAAGCTGTCCGCCCGGGATGGTGGGGGCATCCAGTTGACCTTGGCTGAGGTCTCCCTGATTTCACTGAATTGGAGGTCACGGGGGCTCTCCAGAACTGCAGAGGGGTCAAGGAACAATGACGCAGGCAGGGGCAGGGAGGCTTCTCCCTACGAGTCCCCCCCTCGCCTCTGCTCCAGCACAGGCTCACCACCCCTTTTCCTCTAGTCCCCAGGAATGGAAGTCGCTCTGCAGATTCCTCCAGGCCCACCACCAACTCGCCCACCCCCACCGCTGGCTGAGGCACTAGGTCCCCCCCGTGAAGTACAAAGACCCCCACTTTGGGGCAGAGTGTGTGTGGGTCCTTACCTGGGCTGAGGGTGCGGGCGGTTCCCTGGATGCTGTCGGCCTTGTGGGGTCCTCGCAGCCCATACAGTGTCAGGCTGTACAGAGTCCCGGAACGCAGGTCCCGGAGCACGGCCGAGTGCCGCGTCCCCGGCACCATCAGCTCGCGCTGCAGCAGTGGACGCGGATGCGGCTCCAGTGTGCTTGGTGATGGAACCCCAAAGCGGAGCAGGAAGGAGTCGAAGGCCCCCGGTGGGGCCTCCCAGTTGAGCCTCAGTGAACTGGTGGTCACGTCAGTCACAGACAGCTGGGACAGGCGGGGCCTTGACTCCTCTGAGGTCTGACCAGCAGGAGCCAGCCCTGCACGGAGTGGGTGGGGGAGAAGGGATTGGAGACAGAAGCACACCAGCTTGGTGACCCAGAGCACGTCCCTTCCACCCCCCTCCCTGCCCCCGTTTCTCTATCTGTAACCAGGGACTTGCAGCCACAGGGGGGTCCTGTGGGGCAGAGCTAAAGGCCACTCGCATCCAGCCCATCCATCCTCTCTCCCTGGTACCCGCCTCACGCTCTTTCCCTGCGACCACCCCTTCTGAGCCCCCGTTTCTCCCTTCTGAGTCCTAGGCTAGAGGCCGGAGACGCCTGGTGGTACCTGTGGTGCCCTCAGCTGAGAGGGGCCCCAGGCGCTTCCCTTCATGGAGGCCATAGAGGAGGAACCTGTAGGGGGTGCTGGGCTCCAGGCCTGAGATGAGGATCTTGCTCTGGTCGCCGTCCACGAGCAAGGCCTGGGGCTGCCCGTTCGTGTCCTCATACTGGACCACGAAGGAATCAAAGGGGCCCTGGGCCACGCTCCACGAGAGGCGCATGGAGTCTGGGGTTGTGTCGGTCACGGTCAGCACTCCTAGGCGGGGCTCTTCAGGAGGCTCAGGGGCCTCTGGGGCTAACTCTGGGGCTGGTGTGTCCTCTTCTGGGGCTGCGTGGGAGAAGCCCAGGGGAGAATCTGAGTGAGGGGCGCCATGGGGTGCTCCATTTTTATCTTCCAGGCTTGGCCCAAGGCTGAGGTGGGAAGTTTATAGGTCCAGGCCCAGTCAGACAATGAAGTCGCTGTGGCCTCGTGACTCCTGCGAGCTCCCGCGCTGTCTGAGTCAGGTGCTCGCTTCCCCCTTCCACACCCCGGTGTCCTGCCGAGCCCACCTCGAGATATCACAGGCTCTGGCCCCACCCATGCCGGGATACATTCACTGAGCTTGAGGAGTGTGGTGCTCCCTTCTGAGAGAAGCTGAGGGTGGAACTGGCTGGTTGAGGTGACTGGCAAATCCCACCAGCCGTGCCGTGGTCAGGCCTGTCTGAGGTGGGCATCAGCGAGCTCTGGAAGAGGAGCCTGTACCACAAATGCAGCCACTGCTGTTGGTTTCTGTGTCCCCGCTCATTTTGTTTTCCAGTGATGTTCCTCTTAAGAAAATGCTCCTGACTCATCCACGGCAGGGAGGTTTGCCGCTATCTGGACAAGGCCACCCTTCGGGGAGGCGACAGCAGCCCCAGCGAGTAATGAGGAGCAGCGGCAGTGACGGGGCAGAGTCGGGGCTGGGAGATTAGAGAGCCCCTCCCAGGGCCTTTCCCTCCCGCCTGGCCTGGCTCCTGCTCTGGACTCCTTGATGGATGTTGAAGCCCACAGGGCTGCAGACTCCTCCTCCTTCCTGGGGACAGGCCAGGGCGCCCCACTCCGGCCTGCCCACTCCTGCAGTCATCTTTGTCTTCAGCCCAAATGCACAAGGAAACCCACACAAGCTGGCTTGCTATAGCCAGGCACAGCAGCCTCACCTGTCATTCCCAGGGCAGAGACCGGGCCCAGGCGCTTTCCCCCAAGGAGCCCGTAGAGCAGAAACTTGTATTTCTTGCCAGGCTCCAGGTCCTCTACGGTGACTGTGCGCTGGTCTGCGGCCACAGGCACTGCCCTGGGCTGCCCGTCCGTGTCCCTGTACTGGACCACGAAGGAGTCAAAGGGGCCCTGGGCTACCGTCCAGGACAGGCGCAGAGAGCTGGAGGTCTCCTCAGCCACGGTCAGTTCCCCCAGGTGGGGAGGTAGCTCCTTCTCCAGGGGAGCTGTGCAGAGGGAGGAGGGAAAGCTCTTAGTCACATGCTGCCTTTGCCTAAGCCCTGGCAGCCTCCCGGAGGTGTGAGGTTCTGGGAAATGGTCCCTCCAGTGTAGCCCCAGGGACAGCTCCTTGAGGAGACACACAGGCCTGCTCCCGCCATGCCCCACAGGAATGAGGGAGAACAGCCCCCTCCTCCTCTGGAGGCTGCTGCCCAAACTCCTTCCTGCCCCGCCCCTTCCCTGCTGTGATCGAGGATGCGCCAAATTCATTACAGATCATCTCCCGAGGGATGGGTGGCTGGGGGTGCAGAGAGGGCCTTTGTTTACCCTGACCCCCAGCCCCTGAGCAGGAATGAGGCCAGAGCTGAGAGAGACTCCCCGGAGGTCTCTGGGTTGTCACGGAGACACCCCAAACATCGAGAGCTGGTCTGGGCAGCCGGCCAATGCACGGCTCCCATCACTGCCAGGCTGTGATCTCCCCCTTGTCCCCTTGTGGCCATCAGCCTGAACATCCGTGCCTCCTGCTTCCCCAGCCCCACACTGACCCCACTGGGCCGGGGCAGCCAGGGTGGGGCAGGGAGAAGACAGGGGATTAGCTGGGAGAACAGAGGGCAGAGCAGAGGCTTGCCCGGGTGGGGCTGGGGCCGATGGGTGGGGATCTGTACCCCGTCCCCACAGTGAGGGTTTGGGAAGAGAATTACGGAGTCCCAGGGACCCAGGCCCAGACTGGCCGGCTGCTCTGTCCTCCTCTGGGCATAGTGACTCATGGTCCTGGGAGTGGGGTGAGGGTCGGTGACCCACCACACCCCTTCCTCAGGGAGCTGAGTCATAGGCATAGTGACACCAGGTTTTTCCATCGTCTTTCCATAGCCAAGCCCTCCCTTTTCTTCCACCCCTCGGCTCCGAGTCAGGGAGGAGGGAGGAGGATGGGAACCACTACTGAGTCCAGCGCCATTCCCAGCATTATGCAGGTGAGGACACTGAGGTCCCGGGGATGAAGCGGCTTGTCCATGGTCACCCTGGCAAAGGCTAGGACTGGAACTGGAACACAGATCTGCTGGCCCCAAAGCCCGTGTCCCTTTTATTTCCTCAGCAGTCAGCGAATGAAAGGAAGTAATGCATATGCTTCAGAACTGTGCCTGACACACAGAGGGACTCACTTTCGGAGTTAAGATGGTTGTGTCAGGGCTGATAGAGGGAATCTCACGGGAAGGCTGCAGGGCCAGCTCTGAGGGCTCGGATGAGAGGCAGCTCTGGAAAAGGTGGAGGCTGGACTGGGACTCACCTGTGGTGCTGTCAGCAGAGATGGGGCCCAGTCGTTTCCTGCCTGACAGACCATAGAGCAGGAACCTGTATTTCCTACTGGGCTCCAGGCCCTGGACTGTGACCTCCCGCTGGTTGGCTGCCACCGGCACCACCTGGAGCCGACCATCCTTATCCTTGTACTGGACCACGAAGGAGTCGAATTCGCCCTCAGGGACCGTCCACGAGAGGCCCACGGAGTCAGGGGTCGCATCTGTCACAGTCAGCTCCCCCAGGCGGGGAGACGGTTTGGTGTCTGGGGCTGGAAAAGACAGTGAGGTGCATGGAGAGTGGGATGGAGGCAAAGGGGCCACGGAGCTTCCTGGGCTGCTATGGCTCTGTGAGCCGGTCCCAGGAACGGGAGGGTGACTGGGCCAGGAGTAGGAATAAAAGAGGAGCCAGACAAGAAAGCAAGTGTCCCCTGGGGTGCAGGGAAAGTAGGGAGAGGGATGAGTGTGAGTGGGAGAGGAGAGCTCAGGGCCTGGGTTTTCCTGGACCCAATAAATCAGTGGGTGCTGAGGACTGGAGTGTGGGGCACAGAACGTGAAATTCCAACAGGTGCCACAAGGGGGCGAAGGCTCTGGCCGCGGGAGGCCTCCAGCCCTCACTCACCGGTCCTGGCCTCCACAGGGACTGGGCCGTGGCGTTTCCCATTCTGGAGTCCAAAGAGCAGGAACTTGTACTTGCGGGCCGGGTCCAGCCCCGAGACGGCGACCGCTCGGAGGTCTCCGCTCACAGGCACTGCCTGGGGCTGCCCCTGCGCGTCCCTGTACTGTACCAGGAAGGAGTCAAAGGGGCCCTGGGCCACCGTCCATGAGAGGCCCACTGAGTCCGAGGTCACGGCCGCCACCGCCAGCTCCCCCAGGCGGGGCTCCACCGGCAGTGGTGTGGGCAGGGGCGCTGAAAAGAGCAGAGCAGGCCCATGGGTCAGGAGGCAGGACCCTGCGCAAGGGAGGCAGTGCTCTCCCAGGACTGGAGTGAGCATTTCTTAGCGGCCTCCTCTAAAACGCTTGTTTTAGAATCTGTGCCCTGCATTGCTGTAAGCAGCTCACAAACAGTGGTGCATTTAACCCTCGCACAACATATGAAGTGGGTGCCATTATTATCATCACCCCAACTTTGCAGGAATCTGAAGCACAAGGTTAGGAAACGCCTGCAAAGTCGCACAATCACTACATTCGAAGGCACATGCAGATCTGGGCAGCTGGATCTGAAGCACTTTCTGAGCCACTAAAATACTCCTTAAGGGAGCCTGAAGACTAACAAATGAGCACACGAGCAACATGGAGGTTCCAGATCACAATGGGAGAAGGAAGCTACAACAAACAGGGCATGGACTACCTGCCCATCTGACTCCACACAGTCTCCATGAATCCAAGGATGAGGCAGGATCATTAGCAACATGGGAGAAAAGACAGAAACCTAGAGGCCCAGTCAAAAGAGGTGCCAAGATCCAAAGGAGAAACACAAGGGGGCTGCAGAGGTAAACCTGGGGACGAGGGCCTGTCCCCCCACTCACCCGTGATGCCCACGGTGGACACTGGGCCCACGCGCTGCCCCTCGTGGAGGCCGTACAGATGCATCTTGTATTTGCGCCCGGGCTCCAGGCCCCCCACGGTGACCTCGCTCTCCTCGCCCCTGACACGCACCACCTGGGGCTGCCCGTCCCTGTCCTTGTACTGCACGGTGAAGGAGTCGAAGCGGCCCTGGGGGACGGTCCAGGAGAGGCTCAGCGAGTCAGGGGAGGATCCTGTCACTGTCAACTCCCCCAGGAGCGGCTCCTCAGGGGCCTCCGGGGCCTCAGTGCTGGGTTCTGTGGGGCTGGGGGTCTCTTCCTCTGCAGTGGAGAAGGAGGGAGAGAGAGTGAGGGGGATGTCCTTGGGTCCTGGGGAAAAGGAGGGAGAAGCCAAGGCTATGACTGGGGGACCTGAGGTCATTTCAGAGAAGTCCATTCTTGGGGCTGGGTGGTCCTGCTCAGCTGACAGCTAACACACGTAACAAGTTCCAGGGTCAGCTGTGGGGGACCTGGCACAGCCACCAGCACAGCAAAACTCCTGATGGCCCCTCCCTGCTCAGGGGGAGCCAGGGGTCAACCACATAGGAAGGCCCAAGGGGAGTCCCAGCCCCAGCCACAAGCAGTTCTGTGGTGCTGACCAGACCCCTGTCCCATTCCCCACCAGTCATCACCAAAGAGCAAGAGGTGGCCCTCCCACAGCTCCCACCCTGGGGCTCCCATCATTCACTCACCCGTCACCCCAATGGCAGACACAGGGCCTACGCGCTGGCCACCGTGGAAGCCGTACAGGTTCATCTTGTATTTATGGTCTGGCTCCAGGCCTGAGATGGTGACCCCGTCCTCGTGCCCCGGCACCCGCACCGCCTTGGGCTGCCCATCCCCATTCCTGTACTGGACCAGGAAGTGGTCAAACTGGCCCTCGGGAACCATCCAGGACAGGCTGAGGGAGTCGGGGGTGGCATCTGTCACGGTCAGCTCCCCCAGGCGAGGCTTGATGGGGGGCTCAGGGGTCATGGTAGGCACTGCTTGGGTGGTCTCGGCTTCATCCTTTGGAGCTGGACAGACACGTGTGGGGACAGTGAGGACCCTGGGTTCTCAGTTCAGCATAGAAAGGATGTGTCACAAAACACAAAGTGCCCAAGAACAGGACGATGCTGCCCACAGCGCCTCCAGCACAGCTCTTCATCCTCTCCTCCCCTGCGGCCTTTCCTATCCCTCACCCTGACCCCCCTGCCCTCGGCCCCCACCTCACCCCCACCTCCCAACACCCAGGCCACCTCTCCCTGTCCCTCCAGCACCGCCTCTCTTTTGAGCACAGCTCCACTTGGCCTCTGCACCCTTACCCTCCCTGCACTGGGGTCTCCTCGCCATCTTTTGTTCACTGGGCTTCTGTCTTTGCTCTGCAACAAGCTCAGCACACTCCTCCCGAGGCCAGAGCCTGGGGTGTGTTCCTGGACCCAGCCCCTCACCAGCTGCCAGCAGCCTCAGAGTTACCTCTCCCCCGAGTTTCCCTGGATACCTTCCTCCCCAACCTCCAGTCCCCGATCCTAGTTTGAGCCACTGTCACCTCTCACCAGGGCCACCAACTGCCTATTGGCTTCCCTGCCTCTAGGCTCCCTGCCACCCCATCCCCATCTTTAGCCCCCACAGATGAGCTTCACACAGGCACAGCTGCTGGGGCCATCTCAGCACAGACCTGGGCAATCACATCCTCATCCCTGGGAGACCCCAGGCCTCCTCTGCTCCCACACTTCAGGACTATCTATTCACTGCAAAGGACACCCCACTCAATCCTCAGTACTTCTCACACACCATGCTCTTTCTAGCCTCCTGGCCTTTGCACCACCTGTGCTGATCTGACACGCTTCACCTTCTCTCTAAAGCTGTCACCAAGCTAAGGCCTGCCTGGCCTCAGATCCTGACTGTCCCCTGAGTATCCACAGGTAGGGTGGTTTAGGTATTCCTGCCTGGCTCTGGGCTTCTTGTCACATGCTCACCCGCCTTTGCTTTCTTACTGGTCCACAGCCTGTCCCCCATGACGTTAGCCCCATTAGGACAGGAACTTTTCCCATTAGGACAGGAACCCTAACTCTGAGCCTAACCTCTGTGAGGATTCATGAATGCAAGAAAAATTCGCTTCAACAAATTCTAAGAGAGTTTCCAAATCTGTTACTGGGAGGAGCTTTGCTACAAAGGTGTTCTGTGATTTGCACACAAATATTCATAGCAGCATTATTCTTGATAGCTAAGAGGTGGAAGCAACCCAGATGTCCATCAATGGATGAAAGGATGAGCAAAGTGTGGTCTGTATGTGTAAAACGAAACATTATTCAGCCTGAAAAGGAAGGAAGTTCTGGCCAGGTGCAGTGGCTCTTGCCTATAATCCCAGCACTTTGGGAGGTCAAGGTGGGAGACTCGCTTGAGGCCAGGAGTTTGAGACCAGCCTGGGCAACATACCGAGACCCCCATTGCCACAGAAAATAAAATAAAAAGGAAATTCTGACTGATGCTACGACATAGATGAACCTTAAAGACATTGTATTTAATGAAATGAACCATTCAAAAAAGACAAATATTGTATGATTGCACTTATATGAGGTACCTAGAGTCAAATTCATAGAGACAGAGAGTAGAATGGTGTTGCCAGGGGCTGGGGCAAGGGGAGAATGGGAGTTCGTGTCTAGTGGGTAGGAAGTTTCAGTCTGGGAAGAGGAGTTCTGGAAGTGGAGGGTGACAGTCCACAGCAATGTGAGTGGACTTCATGCTGGACTGCAAACTAGAAAGCGATTAGAATGGCGAATTATGTCAAGTGTACTTTACTACAATAAAAAACAACAAAAAAAGTGTGTTCCTTGGACCAGTGGCATCAAGATAGATGAGAATCTTGTTAGAAATGGATGGTCGGCTGGGCGCCGTGGCTCACGCCTATGATCCCAGCACTTTGGGAGGCCGAGGAGGGCAGATCACGAGGTCAGGAGATTGAGACCATCCTGGCTAACACGGTGAAACCCATCTCTACTAAAAATATGAAAAAATTAGCTGGGCGTGGTGGCGCACGCCTGTAGTCCCAGTTACTCAGGAGGCTGAGGTAGGAGAATCACTTGAACCCAGGAGGCGGAGGTTCCAGTGAGCCGAGATTGAGCCACTGTACTCCAGCCTGGGTGACAAAGCGAGACTCTATCTCAAAAAAAAAAAAAAGAAAGAAAGAAAAAGAAAGAAATGCATGGTCTCTTGCCCTAGGCCAAGCCTGCTGAATCCAAATCTGCTTTTTAACAAAAATCTCCAGGCATTTGGATACACAAAGGAAGGAATACTCTTCAGAGTATGTTTTCACGAAGACTGGAGAGACAGCAGTGTCTTCCAGGGCCATCTTCCCCACCTCGCCTCACTCACACTTACTCACCTGTCACACCCACAGCGGACACTGGGCCCACGCGCTGCCCCTCGTGGAGGCCGTACAGGTGCATCTTGTATTTGCACCCGGGCTCCAGGCCCCCCACGGTGACCTCGCTCTCCTCGCCCCTGACACGCACCACCTGGGGCCGCCCGTCCCTGTCCTTGTACTGCACAGTGAAGGAGTCGAAGCGGCCCTGGGGGATGGTCCAGGAGAGGCTCAGCGAGTCAGGGGAGGATCCTGTCACTGTCAGCTCCCCCAGGAGCGGCTCCTCAGGGGGCTCCGGGGCCTCCGTGCTGGGTTCTGTGGGGGCGGGAGTTTCTTCCTCTGCAGCTGAGAAGAGGGGACAGAGAAGGTGAGGCAGCTTCCCTGGGGGATGTCCTTGGGTCTTGTGAGGAAGGAGAGCGAAGCTGTGGCCATGAGTGGGGGTCCTGGGGTCAGCTTGGAGAGGCCCATCTTTGGAGCTGGGTGGTCTTGCTCAGTTTACAGTCAACACACATGACAAGCTCTGAGGTCAGTGCTGGGGAACTTGGGACAGCCACCAACAGAGCTCACAGGGCCCTTCTCCACCCAGGAAGATCTGTCAGTCCTCAGGGAAGTGGGGAAAGACAAAAAAGTACCATGGCTCAGCCAAGAGCAGAGGGGCTTCCTGGGCCAGTTCACCCATCACCAGAGAAAGGGAGACCCTCCCACAGGCCCCACTCTGGGGCTCCCATCGTACACTCACCTGTCACCCCAATGACAGAGATGGGGCCCACGCGCTGGCCACCGTGGAAGCCGTACAGGTTCATCTTGTACTTGTGGTCTGGCTCCAGGCCTGAGATGGTGACCCCGTCCTCGTGCCCCGGCACCCGCACCACCTTGGGCTGCCCATCCCCATTCCTGTACTGGACCAGGAAGTGGTCAAACTGGCCCTCGGGGACCATCCAGGACAGGCTGAGGGAGTCAGGGGTGGCATCTGTCACGGTCAGCTCCCCGAGGCGAGGCTTGTTGGGGGGCTCAGGGGTTGTGGTGGGCACTGCTTGGGTGGTCTCTGCTTCATCCTCTGGAGCTGGACAGACACGTGTGGGGAGAGTGAGGTCCCTGGGTTCTCAGTTCAGCATAGAAAGGATGTGTCACAAAACACAAAGTGCCCAAGAGCAGGACGATGCTGCCCACAGCGCCTCCAGCACAGCTCTTCATCCTCTCCTCTCCTGCGGCCTTTCCTATCCCTCACCCTGACCCCCCTGCCCTCAGCCCCCACCTCACCCCCACCTCCCAACACCCAGGCCACCTCTCCCTGTCCCTCCAGCACCGCCTCTCTTTTGAGCACAGCCCCACTCGGCCTCTGCACCCTTAGCCTCCCTGCACTGGTGTCTCCTCGCCATCTTTTGTTCACTGGGCTTCTGTCTTTGCTCCGCTACAAGCTCAGCACACTCCTCCCGAGGCCAGAGCTTGGGGTGTGTTCCTGGACCCAGCCCCTCACCAGCTGCCAGCAGCCTCAGAGTACCTCTCCCCCGAGTTTCCCTGGATACCTTCCTCCCCCACCTCCAGTCCCCAATCCTAGTTTGAGCCACTGTCACCTCTCACCAGGGCCACCAACTGCCTACTGGCCTCCCTGCCTCCAGGCTCCCTGCCACCCCATCCCCATCTTTAGCTCCCACGGATGAACTTCACACAGGCACAGCTGCTGGGGCCATCTCAGCACAGACCTGGGCAACCACATCCTCATCCCTGGGAGACCCCAGGCCTGGTGAGTGGTCCCCTCCTCTGCTCCCACACTTCAGGATGATCCACCAACTGCAAAGGACACCCCACTCAATCCTCAGTGTCTCTCACACACCATGCTCTTTCTAGCCTCCTGGCCTTTGCACTAGCTGTGATGATTTGACATGCTTCACTTCCTCTCCAAAGCTGTCATCAAGCTAAGGCCTGCCTGGCCTCAGGTCCTGGCTGTCCCCTGGGTACTTGTGGGCAGAGTGACTTCACTGTCCCTTCCCAATCCTGGCTTGGCTCCTGGGCTCCACATGCTCATCCTTCTTTGCTTACTTTCCGGTTTTCTGCTTGTGCCCACAATTGTGAGCCCCATGAAAACATGAACTTGTGTGTGTCACTTTCCAGCTTCCGCCTATGAAAGAAAAAGGCAGCCCTGACACCCGTGAGCTGCCCTTTCCCTCTGCCAGGCCACGGCTGCTTGGGGCTGGCCTGGCACAGTCTGGTCTTGGCGTGGTCCAGTTGAACAGACAATTTCATGGAACATCAACATCAGACTAGGCCATTTGTCAGTAGGATGGATCAAGACAAGAACAAGGCCAGTCTGTGATCATGTCTCAGTAAGGATGAACTCTAACATTTTCCAAAGCACAAAAATAACCAAACATCACCCATCCAGCTAATCTGAGTGATAGCTGCTTCTTTACCAATGGCAGCTTTGGCCTTGCTCTAGTTGACCTCCCCAAAGATAAGACTTAGTGAGACGCCTGGTAATAGGGTTATCCCTTCTTCCTGACAGCGTCTAATAAAGAGCAAAACCTTGCTTCCTTAAATGCTTTCCTAAAACACCAAACACAAGCCCAGTTCCTTAACAATCTCTTTCTAAAGCCTCTTCCTAAGTCACCCCACAGTCCTCCTGCACTGCATGGAGCATAATTCCATCCATTCAATTTTAGGTGAGTTTCTGGAGGTCGTTGGCCAGAGGACATTGATACCCTAAAATTACAGTGTCCGGATCAGGGCAAGGAATTCTTTGCTGAATGAACAAATTGGCCCATTGGTGAGAAAGGTCTGTTCCTATTCCTATTCCAATAGTGGGCTTCCAGAGTGTGCAGTCGACGCGCTGCCCCTCACTGCCTTCTGTCTTCCTTCACGGCCCCTAGTCAACTCCACAGAGAAAGCACACTACCAGGAATCAGGGACGCAGAAAAATTCTCTTCAACAGATTTCAAAAGAGGGTCCAATTCCTTTGTCGTGAAGAACTTTGCTACTCAAGGGGCGTGATCATGGGCCAGCAGCATCCGCATCATTTCTTGTTGGAAATGCAGAATCTCTGGCCCTAGCCCAAACCTGTTGAACCCCAATCTGCCTCTTAGCAAGATCCCCAAGCATGGAAACGTGCAAAAGAAGCCCGGCTGGTGAGAATATTTTTGTTTTCATGAAGTTGCAGAGAAAGCAACATCTTCTAGGGCCATCTTCCTCACTCACAAACACTCACCTGTCACACCCACGGTGGACACCGGGCCCACACGCCGCCCCTCGTGGAGGCCGTACAGGTGCATCTTGTATTTGCGCCCGGGCTCCAGGCCCCCCACGGTGACCTCGCTCTCCTCGCCCCTGACACGCATCACCTGGGGCCGCCCGTCCCTGTCCTTGTACTGCACGGTGAAGGAGTCGAAGTGGCCCTGGGGGATGGTCCAGGAGAGGCTCAGCGAGTCAGGGGAGGATCCTGTCACTGTCAGCTCCCCCAGGAGCGGCTCCTCAGGGGGCTCCGGGGCCTCAGTGCTGAGTTCCGTGGGGCTGGGGGTCTCTTCCTCTGCAGCTGAGAAAAGGAGATATAGAGAGGATGCCAGGTGCCTGGGGGATGTGCTCAGGTCTTCAAGGGAAGGAGGGAGAAACCATGGCCACTACTGGGTATGTGAGGTCATTTCAGAAAAGCCCATTCTTGGGGCTGGGTGGTCCTGCTCAACTGACAGCTAACACACATGACAAGTTCCAGGGTCAGCTGTGGGGGACCTGGGACAGTCACCAGCACAGCAGAACTCCTGATGGCCCCTCCCTGCTCAGGAGGAGCCAGGGGTCAGCCTCAGAGGAAGGCCCAAGGGGAGCCCCAGCCACAAGCAGGTCTGTGGTGCTGACCGGACCCCTGGCCCATTCCCCACCAGTCATCACCAAAGAGCAAGAGGGTGACCCTCCCACGGCTCCCACCCTGGGGCTGCCATCATCCACTCACCCGTCACCCCAGTGACAGAGATGGGGCCCACGCGCTGGCCACCGTGGAAGCCGTACAGGTTCATCTTGTATTTATGGTCTGGCTCCAGGCCTGAGATGGTGACCCCGTCCTCGTGCCCCGGCACCCGCACCGCCTTGGGCTGCCCATCCCCATTCCTGTACTGGACCAGGAAGTGGTCAAACTGGCCCTCGGGAACCGTCCAGGACAGGCTGAGGGAGTCAGGGGTGGCATCTGTCATGGTCAGCTCCCCCAGGCGAGGCTTGATGGGGGGCTCAGGGGTCATGGTAGGCACTGCTTGGGTGGTCTCGGCTTCATCCTCTGGAGTTGGACAGACACGTGTGGGGACAGTGAGGTCCCTGGCTCCTCAGTTCAGCATAGAAAGGATGTGTCACAAAACACAAAGTGCCCAAGAGCAGGACGATGCTGCCCACAGCCCCTCCAGCACAGCTCTTCATCCTCTCCTCTCCTGCGGCCTTTCCTATCCCTCACCCTGACCCTCCTGCCCTCAGCCCCCACCTCACCCCCACCTCCCAACACCCAGGCCACCTCTCCCTGTCCCTCCAGCACCGCCTCTCTTTTGAGCACAGCCCCACTCGGCCTCTGCACCCCTGGCCTCCCAGCACTGGGGTCTCTTCGCCATCTTTTGTTCACTGGGCTTCTGTCTTTGCTCCGCAACAAGCTCAGCACACTCCTCCCGAGGCCAGAGCCTGGGGTGTGTTCCTGGATCCAGCTCCTCACCAGCTGCCAGCAGCCTCAGAGCATCTTTACCCTGAATTCCCCTGGATACCTTCCTACCCCACCTCCAGTCCCCGATCCTAGTTTGAGCCACTGTCACCTCTCACCAGGGCCACCAACTGCCTACTGGCCTCGCTGCCTCCAGGCTCCCTGCCACCCCATCCCCATCTTCAGCCCCCACGGATGAGCTTCACACAGGCACAGCTGCTGGGGCCATCTCAGCACAGACCTGGGCAACCACATCCTCATCCCTGGGAGACCCCAGGCCTGGTGAGTGGTCCCCTCCTCTGCTCCCACACTTCAGGATGAGATACTCACCGTAAAGGACACCCCACTCAATCCTCAGTGCCTCTCACGTGCCATGCTCTTTCTAGCCTCCTGGCCTTTGCACCAGCTGTGATTATCTGACACACTTCACCTTCTCTCTAAAGCTGTCACCAAGCTAAGGCATGCCTGGCCTCAGGTCCTGGCTGTCCCCTGGGTACCCATGGGCAGGGTGACTTAGGCGTCCCTGTCTGGTCCTGACCTGAGCCCTGGGCCTCCCTATCACATGCTCACCCGCCTTTGCTTCATTTGCTGGATTGCAGCCTGTCTCTCCATGACATGTCTTTCCATAATGTTGCTATATTCCTTTCACTGTGAGCCCCATCAAGACAGAAATATGTATAGGAAAATGGTAGAGAAGGGCACATTTTCTAGGGCTGTCTTCCAACCCTGCCCCACCCACACTCACTCACCTGTGACGCCCACGGCAGACACCGGGCCCAGGCGCCGCCCCTCGTGGAGGCCGTACAGGTGCATCTTGTACTTGCGCCCAGGCTCCAGGCCCCTCACAGTGACCTTGCTCTCCTGGCCCCCAACACGCACCGCCTGGGGCCGCCCGTCCCTGTCCTTGTACTGCACGGTGAAGGAGTCAAAGCGGCCCTGGGGGACGGTCCAGGAAAGGCTCAGCGAGTCAGGGGAGGATCCTGTCACTGTCAGCTCCCCCAGGAGAGGCTCCTCGGGGGGCTCTGGGGCCTCTGTGCCTGGTTCTGTAGGGCTGGGGGTCTCGTCCACATCCTCTTGTGGGGCTGAAAGGTAATATAGGGGGATACAGAGTTTAAGGGTTTAAGGGCAACTTGCTTTGCTGGTGCTGTCAACAGAGGTCATACATCAAATGCGCCCCTCCAGAGCAGGCTGAGGGCTGGGGCAGCTTTGTGTTCGCCGTTCAGTGACTCTTGGAATAAGAGCCGGTGAGGTATCCCCGAGCCCCCGGCCTGTACTGCTGGCAGAGCTGCACTGTTAGAAACCTCCAGAAGGCAACTGAGACATAGTGTCAGGAGCCAAAGTAATTCTCATTTCCTTTGACCCAATAATCCCAGTTCTGGGCATCTGTCCTAAGAAAATTATTAAAGCAGGAAAAAGTTATAGCATGGAAGAACTCACGATGGGGTTATTCATGACAGCAGATGTGTCAGGAACACAAATGACCCGTAGAAGATGATTAATTTTGTTATAGTGCTTTCACCGCAACGCATCAAATAACCATTGAAACGATGATGAATGCTGGTTGTGTAGCCGTGAGGTGAATGATTACAATGTACTTGTGTACAAAAAAGGAAGTGCCAAGAACTTTATGAACACTGATTGCAACTTTAAAACACGCTCTGCATGCAAAATACAGGAAGGGAATGTGCACTACACACATTGTTATTAATGCCGGCAGCTGGGGGAGAAAGTAGGACTATGAGATTCTTGTTTTCTGTTTTTCAAGCTTTCCACATAATGTTGCTGTATTATTTTCACTAGAAAAACGTGGGCTAAAAAAGAAATTCTGGGCTGGGAGCAGTGGTTCACGCCTGTAATCCTAGCATTTTGGGAGGCCGAGGCGGGTGGATCACCTGAGGTTGGGAATTCGAGTCTAGCTTGGCCAATATCATGAAACCCGGTCTCTACTGAAAATACAAAAATTAGCCAGGCGTGGTGGCATGCACCTGTAATCCCAGCTACTCAGGAGGCTGAGGCAGGACAATCACTTGAACCTGGGAGGCAGAGGTTGCAGTGAGCTGAGATCACACCACTGCACTCCAGCCTGGGCAACAGAGTGAGACTCAGTCTCAAAAAAAAAAAAAAAAAAGAAAAAGAAAGAAAGAAATTCTGGGCTACAACAATTAATAATAGAGTGTGGGGTGGGGGTGGGGCAGCAATACACATAGAACAGGAGGGGCAGGGGTGGGTCCCTCAGCCTGTCCTCTGTCAGTTCTGTGGTTCCCCACAGTGGAGACAGGAACACAAAACTGAACGTGGACCAGGACAGCTTACCCCCGGAATGTGAATTTTTCTAATGTTCATTTTCCAATAATTTCCCTATTCCCCCTGTTTCCCAACACTCAGATGGTCCTCTGAACATGCATATGGAAATGAGGCCTCTCCCCCAGGAATCGGGGATGCCGATTGAGAGTGCTTCCTCTGTCTGGATGGCCTTTGGGAGATGAGCTCGCACCTCACTTGGTGCCACAGAGGTGGCGACCTGCCCTGCAAGAGACCGCCTCTCAGCAGGGCTGATTCTTCCCCATCGGTAGGAATTCTCGAAAAATACTCTAAGCCAGGCATAACAACCTGGCTGAGGATGACTTAGAAAAGGCAGCCTGACTGAGCATTTGGAATTCAATTAACCTCATGATCTCCACCCCTCCAATTTCTTATGGACTAGAAATTTTGAACTTCCTCATAATTAGAAATGAAATAAGTCTGGCTGGGCGCGGTGGCTCATGCCTGTAATCCCAGCACTTTGGGAGGCCGAGGCGGGCAGATCACCTGAGGTCAGGAGTTTGAGCAGCCTGACCAACATGGAGAAACTCCCTCTCTACTAAAAATACAAAATTAGCCAGATGTGGTGGCGCATGCCTGTAATCCCAGCTACTCGGGAGGCTGAGGCAGGAGAATCGCTTGAATCCAGGAGGCAGAGGTTGTAGTGAGCCGAGATCATGCCATTGCACTCCAGCCTGGGCGACAAGAGCGAAACTTCATCTCAAAAAAAAAAAAGAAGGAAATAAATGAAATAAGCCACAAGAGCGATAGAGGAGTAGGACAGATGGAGTGTAAAGAAGGAGAAGACATTATATATTTTCTCTTTTCCCTTTCCCTGATTGTAAAAGAAATGTTTGCCATTTAAGAAAATTTGGACTATGCAGAATAGAATAATACAGAAAAAAATGTGCTGGAATATTCTATTCTATCTAACAAATCAGGCAACCCGTGGGATGTGTTTCTTTCCAGTCTTCTTGCCATGCCTGTTACTTTCAAATGGTTGTGATTAGCATCCTTACAAAAATTTGGGCTCCTTTTTCTTCTTTTTTGAGACTGAGTTTGGCTGTATCTGCCAGGCTGGAGTGCAGTGGTGATCTCGGCTCACTGCAACCTCTGCCTCCCGGGTTCAAGCAATTCTCGTGCCTCCACCTCCCAAGTAACTGGGATTACAGGCATGTGCCACCATGCTTGGCTAATTTTTGTATTTTTAGTAGAGATGGGGTTTCACCATGTTGGCTAGACTGGTCTGGAACTCCTGACCTCAGGCGATCAGCCCGCCTCGGCCTCCCAAAGTGCTGGGATTACAGGCGTAAGCCACTGTGCCCAGCCTAGGCTCTCTTTTTTCAATGTAACATTATAAAGTAAGGGTCTTATGTTAAAACATTTCAGTGGCGGCATAATAGCTCTTTTTATAGATGTTGCCTAAATTATTTAGTCATCCCAACGTGGTTTGACGTTGGATTGTTCCTCTTGTGTGCATTTGTGTATGTGGTTATAACAAAGAATGCTGTTATTAAGATGGAAAGAAAGGAAAATTCTCGTAAGTCAGGCTTGGTGTGCGCCTGACATATTTCACTCTTGGAGGTTATCAGTGGTTGACCATTAGAGGGAGGCCACGCCAAAGTGAACAAGCAAACCGCTAGCATAGGCCACAGCCACAGGGCACAGAGGGAGGGCAGGACACAGGAGACAAGTCTGGACCCACAGGGCTTGGTGAAAGGGCACAGCAGTAAACCAGGTACCCATGAGGGAAAGGTGGTTACCCCGAGACTCCAAGCACTACTCACCAGTCACGCCCACGGTGGACACCGGGCCCACGCGCCGCCCCTCGTGGAGGCCGTACAGGTGCATCTTGTATTTGCGCCCAGGCTCCAGGCCCCCCACGGTGACCTCGCTCTCCTCGCCCCCAACACGCACCACCTGGGGCCGCCCGTCCCTGTCCTTGTACTGCACGGTGAAGGAGTCGAAGCGGCCCTGGGGGACGGTCCAGGAGAGGCTCAGCGAGTCAGGGGAGGATCCTGTCACTGTCAGCTCCCCCAGGAGCGGCTCCTCAGGGGGCTCCGGGGCCTCCATGCTGGGTTCTGTGGGGCTGGGGGTCTCTTCCTCTGCAGCTGAGAAAAAGGGACACAGAGAGGATGGCAGGGTCCCTGGGGGATGTGCTTACGTCGTGGGGAAAAGGAGGGAGAAGGCTATGACTAGGGGACATATGAAATAGCCAAGGCTATGACTAGGGGACCTGAGGTCAGTTCAGAGAGGCCCATTCTTGGGGTCCTGCTCAGCTGACAGCTAACACACATGACAAATTCCAGGGTCAGCTGTGGGGGACCTGGCACAGCCACCAGCACAGCAAAACTCCCAATGGCCCCTCCCTGCTCAGGGGGAGCCAGGGGTCAACCACACAAAAAGGTACAATGGGAGCCCCAGCCCCAGCCACAAGTAGGTCTGTGGTGCTGACCAGACCCGTCCCATTCCCCACCAGTCATCACCAAAGAGCAAGAGGGTGACCCTCCCATGGCTCCCACCCTGGGGCTCCCATCGTCCACTCACCTGTCACCCCGATGGCAGACACGGGGCCCACACGCTGGCCACCGTGGAAGCCGTACAGGTTCATCTTGTACTTGTTGTCTGGCTCCAGGCCGGAGATGGTGACCCTGTCCTCATGTCCTGGCACCCGTGTTGCCTTGGGCTGCCCATCCCCATTCTTGTACTGGACCAGGAAGTGGTCAAACTGTCCCTCGGGAACCGTCCAGGACAGGCTGAGGGAGTCAGGGGTCGCATCTGTCACGGTCAGCTCCTCCAGGCGAGGCTTGATGGGGGGTTCAGGGGTGGGAGGTTCTGTCGAGGCTGGGGCCATTTCTTCATCCTTTCCTGGGGCTGCATCAGAAAATAGAATGGGTAGGCATGCCTGGTGGGCCTCCTTTTAACCAAGGGACTCTGGGATTCTCTTAGACACACCAAGGGCCCACAGTCTGGATGCTGGTGCCCCAAGCTTAGAATATCATTTTTCTGCTTTGAATGTTCAGTTAACACCACACCTGTGGTGAAGTCATGATGCTCAGGTGGCATCCCTGTGATGCTCAGTGTGCAGGCCTGGGACCCTTAGGAGCTGCCAAGCAAATTTGTTTTGCAGGACAGAATTGATGCTTTATAAGAACACCAACCAGGGCCGGGTGTGGTGGCTCAGGCCTGTAATCTCAGCACTTTGGGAGGCCGAGGCGGGCGGATCATGAGGTCAGGAGATTGAGACCATCCTGGCTAACACTGTGAAACCCCGTCTTTACTAAAAATACAAAAAATTAGCCAGGCGTGTTGGCGGGCACCTGTAGTCCCAGCTACTCAGGAGGCTGAGGCAGGAGAATGGCATGAACCCAGGAGGCGGAGCTTGCGGTGAGCCAAGATCACGCCACTGCACTCCATCCTGGGAGACAGCGAGACTCCTTCTCAAGAAAAAAACAAACAAACAAAAACAAACAAACAAACAAAAAACAGCAATCAGGGCCAGGCGTGGTGGCTCAGGCCTGTAATCCCAGCACTTTGGGAGGCCGAGGCGGGAGGATCACCTGAGGTCAGGAGCTTGAGACCAGCCTGGCCAACATGGCGAAATCCTGTCTGTACTAAAAATACAAAAATTAGCCAGATGTGCTGGTGCATGCCTGTAATCCCAGCTACTCGGAAGGCTGAGGCAGGAGAACTGCTTGGACCTGGGAGGCAGAGGTTGCAATGAGCTGAGATCGCACCACGGCACTCCAGCCTGAGAGCCTGGGTGACAGAGTGAGACTCCATCTCAACATAAAGAAAAAAAAAAAAAAGAAAACAAAGAACACCAACCAAACACAACAGGCAAGTTGTATCAGGAGGTTCATCCACCTGGGCTTGGAAATTCCACCTAATCCTGAGCATTTTTAGAAACCAACTTAGATTTTATAGCTGAGGGTAGAGAGATGAGACCACATGAGGGCATCTTTGCAGCTGAGTTGTCTCTGGACCTGCAGTAGCTCTGCTAACTTACGGCAGAGAGAGCACCTCCAGTGATGCCAGTTCTTTTGGCCCGTGTGAAATCAATTGCTTTGTTTTCATTGATTTCTTTAATCTTTTCTGCTCTTCATAGGGTTTTATTCTGCCTTGATAGTGGTATTACAAATTCATCACATTTCATTTGTCTGTTCTTTTTGAGAACTGAGTCTTAAGCATCTAGGGGGTAACAGCTATAAAAGAGCTTACAAAAGCATCAAAGAGCCGAGTTACAGGGTAATGAAAGGAAAATGCCTTATTAAGTTGTGCACATGGCCAATATTTACAATTAAAGTAATAGTATCCATGTTAACAGGATTCAGTGTTGTTTTAAAAATAAATGGGTATTAATTTGGGAGCTTAGAGAACACATACAATTTTTCCCACTGAAATCAGTGATAATTATGAGAATTTGCCCTAAGCGGTTTTCAGGAACTACCTACCTTCCTCAGAAGGGAAAGACTGCAGTTATCTCTCATTGTGTGTGAGAGCCAAGCCACACTCCCGCCCACCCTTCACGACAGGTATGGTTATTCCTTCTTTACAGATGAGGAAAAGGATGTACAGAGAGGTCGTGTGTCTGTTTTTTGTTTGCTTGTTTTGTTTTTTTGAGACAGGGTCTCACTCTGTCACACAGGCTGGAGTGCAGTGGCTCGATCTCGGCTCACTGCAACCTCCGCCTCCTGGGTTCAAGCGATTCTCCCGCCTTAGCCTCCCGAGTAGCTGGGACTACAGGCATGTGCCACCACACCCAGCTAATTTTTGTATTTTTAGTAGAGATGGGGGTTTCATGATGTTGGCCAGGCTCGTCTCGAACTCCTGACCTCAAGTGATCTGCCCCCTTCGGCCTCCCAAAGTGCTGGGATTACAGGCATGAGCCACCGTGCCCAGACAGGTTGTGTGAGTCTCTTGAGGACACACAGCTCAAATGGGCTGAAGCTATGGTCAACCCCAGGTGTGCCTCAGTCTGTGTTATTTTCCTGGTCCCCCACCTCTTTGGGAACCCAAAAAGCCCATGTGTAACGGGCAGAAGACCTGGGGCAATACCAAAGTCTCGGAGTGAAGGCACCAGCAGAACCATTCCCAGGAGCTTGGGAGGCTTGGTCTCAGGGAAAGTAAAATAAAGCCACCAGATACTGACAATAAAAGGGAAACTGAGTCTAGTTCAGGGCAGGGCCCAGTGCCCTACTGCACACTCACCAGTTAAACCAACAGCAGACACGGGGCCCACGCGCTGGCCACCGTGGAAGCCGTACAGGTTCATCTTGTACTTGTGGTCTGGCTCCAGGCCCGAGATGGTGACCCCATCCTCGTGTCCCGGCACCCGCACCGCCTTGGGCTGCCCATCCCCATTCTTAAACTGGACCAAGAAATGGTCAAACTGGCCCTCGGGGACTGTCCAGGAGAGGCTGAGGGAGTCGGAGGTGATGTCTCTCACTGTCATCTGCCCTAGGCGCAGCTTTGCAAGAGGAGCATCAGGGGACTCCTCTTCGGGGGCTAGGAAGAGATAGAAACAGAATCTTTTCTCTTGCTGCAAGGAGGTGTTGAGGCCCCAGCTGTCTTGAATTCAGGTCAGAAGGTGGGCCCAGTCTGGCCCTAACTTAAGATCAATTTCTGATTATAATCATAATCAGATTTTGTGGCTTCCTTATGGTCCCTCAACCATGCCAGGCAGCCTCCTACCTCAGTACTTTTACAATGACTGTTCCCTCTACCTAAATGTTCTTTCCCCAGATATCTTCATGGCTCATCCCCACACTTCCTTTAAGTCTTTGTTCAAAAGCCACCTTCTTCTGTGGGCCTTCCCTGATTACTCTATTTAAAATTTCAGTTTTCTCAATTGCAATGTATCCTCCTTCTATAGACCTGATTTCAGCAACAAATTGGGAAACAACAATTATGAGACACTCGGGAGACTGTAGCACTACCTGGATACTTGATATCAAGGCATGATTGTTCACTTATCAAGGTATGCTAATTGTATTGTGGAATTTTATTATTTATTTATTTATTTTTTGACACAGAGTCTCACTCTGTCACCCAGGCTGGAGTGCAGTGGCGCGATCTTGGCTCACTGCAACCTCCACCTCCTGGGTGCAAGCAATTTCTTGTGCCTCAACCCCCGCCAAGTAGCTGGGACTACAGGCACGTGCCACCACGCTCCGCTTTTTTGTACTTTTTAAAATTTATTATTATTATTATTATTTTTAGTAGAGACGGGGTTTCACCATGTTGGTCAGGCTGGTCTTGAACTCTTTACCTCAAGTGATCCACCTGCCTTGGCCTCCCAAAGTGCTGGGATTACAAGCGTGAACCACCTCACCTGGCCATATTGTGGATTTTTTAAAAATAATTTTTTTAAAAAGAGATATACCTTTAAATATTTAGTGATGAAAGCATAGGATGTCTGTGGTTCGTTTTTAAAATACTGCAGTAGTATAACCACACAATGCAATACTGTTTGGCAATAAAAAGCAGTGTAGTGGCTGAGAGAGAGCAGGTGGCTCATGCCTGCTATCCCAGCACTTTGTAAGGCCCAGGCAGGAGGATTCCTTGAAGCCAGGAGTTTGATATCAGCCTGGGTAACACTGTGAGACCCCATCTCTACAAAAAATTTTTTTAAATTAGCTGAGTGTGGTGGCGAGCACCTGTGGCCCCAGCTACCTGGGGGGCTGAGATGGGAGGATGGCTTGAGCCCAGGAGTCTGGGGCTGCAGTGAGCTATGATCATGCCACTGCACTATAGCCTGGGCAATAGAGTGGGAATTTGTCTCAAAAAAAATCAATCAATCAATCAATCAATCAATCAATAGCAATGTAGTAAGTATAGTACTTCTACATGCTACATTGATGAACCTCAAAAACATTATGCTCAGTGAAAGAAGCTAGACACAAAAGAATACATATTGTTTGAGTCCATTTATACGAAATGTTCTGGAACAGCAATCTACAGAGAAAAAAGTAGATTAGTTATAAACTAGGGCTGAGGTAGGAATGGGTCTGGACCCAAGATTTCTTTTGGGGGTGATGGAAAAGTTCTAAAATTAGATCGTGGTGATGGCTGCACAAGTAGGTAAAGATACTAAAATCAGTAAGTTGTACACTAAAAACAAGTGTATTTTATGCCACATGAATTATATCTCCATAAAGGTGTTAATAAAGAAAACATTCAGGCCGGGTGTGGCGGCTCACGCCTGGAATCCTATCACTTTGGCTGAGGTGGGAGGATAACTTGAGCCCAGGAGTTCGAGACTGGCCTGGGCAACATGGCTAAACCCTGTCTCTACAAAAAATACAAAAAATTAGCTGGGCATGGTGGAGTGCACTTGTAGTCCCAGCTATTCGGGAGGCTGAAGTGGGAGGATCCCTTAAGCCCAGGAGGTTGAGGCTGCAGTGCAGTGAATTGTGACTGTGCCAGTACACTCTAGCCCAGGCGACAGAGTGAGACCTTGTCTAAAAAGAAAGAAAGAAAAGAAAAGAATGAAAGAAAGAAAGAAAGAGAAAGAAAGAAAGGAAGGAAGAAAGAAAGAAAGAAAGAAAGAAAGAAAGAAAGAAAGAAAGAAAGAAAGAAAGAAAGAAAGAAAACATTCTAGTGATTCTAGTGGAGGAAGTGGGTGGGGCAGAGATGAGCCAGACTGGCCAGAAGTCGATATTTGATTGAAGGAGGATGGCAGGGTCTTTGTACTATTCTTTCTGTTTATACATTTGAAATTTTATTTAACAAATACTTATTAATTTAATTAATTTGTATTTCAAAAATGTGTTCCAATCTCACAAAAAGAGTTATGTATAGAGTTCCAAGGAAAAGCGGAGAGCCACAAACCAGCCAGTGAATCACCTCCCAAGAGGCCTCAGTCCCTGGGGGCCTTTCCCATATGGCTCCGACACTTCTCCTGGATTTGCTCTCTCTGTCCCCAGATCACACCTGTCCTGAGCCTTTAGTGAACAGGGTGTATTACAGGTTTGAGGTCTTGGGGTTCTGGGTCCCTAGTGGAGGAGATGCTGGAGGCTGTACTTTGCTAAGACCCAACCCAGAGGGCTCTGCAGTGCACACTCACCCGTGACGCCCACAGCAGACACTGGGCCCACGCGCCGCCCCTCGTGGAGGCCGTACAGGTGCATCTTGTACTTGCGCCCAGGCTCCAGGCCCCCCACGGTGACTTCACTCTCCTCGCCCCCAACACGCACCACCTGGGGCCGCCCGTCCCTGTCCTTGTACTGCACGGTGAAGGAGTCGAAGCGGCCCTGGGGGACGGTCCAGGAGAGGCTCAGCGAGTCAGGGGAGGATCCTGTCACTGTTAGCTCCCCCAGGAGCGGCTCCTCAGCGGGCTCCGGGGCCTCCATGCTGGGTTCTGTGGGGCTGGGGGTCTCTTCCTCTGCAGCTGAGAAGGAGGAAGAGAGAGTGAGGGGGATGTCCTTGGGTACTGGGGAAAAGGAGGGAGAAGCCAAGGCTATGACTGGGGGACCCGAGGTCAGTTCAGAGAGGCCTACTCTTGGGGCTGGGTGGTCCTGCTCAGCTGACAGCTAACACACATGACAAGTTCCAGGGTCAGCTGTGGGGGACCTGGGACAGCCACCAGCACAGCAAAATTCCCGATGGCCCCTCTCTGTTCAGGAGGAGCCAGTGGTCAACCTCACAGGAAGGCCCAAGGGGAGCCCCAGCCCCAGCCACAAGCAGGTCTGTGGTGCTGACCAGACCCTTGTCCCATTCCCCACCAGTCATCACCAAAGAGCAAGAGGGTGACCCTCCCATGGCTCCCACCCTGGGGCTCCCATCATCCACTCACCTGTCACCCCGACGACAGACACAGGGCCCATGCGCTGGCC